>NC_000014.9:78854137-79005652 GCF_000001405.40 Homo sapiens
CTCTTGTTATTTCCTAGTTGTCATATATCCTTGGCAGCTGTCATCAGCCGAATTTGGTGTTTCTAATTTTTAGTAGCTGTCATCCTGTCCCAAGTTTCTGTAACACATGCTTCGGCCTTGCCAAACATGATTTGCTTTAACAGTTAGTCATAATTTTTTGGGCCTTACCTTGGCGGGCTAGTGGTCACATTTTACTGTAGGTGATCTTTACAAGTGACTTCAGCTCCCTCTTCTAGCTTTACCTTTTTTTTTAATTGCACAAAATTCTATGTAGCATGTCAATCGATAGGCAAAAAAAGATCTGTTAGCCTCCATTACCCAAGAGTGGGCCATATTTCAGTGGTAGGTAAATTTGGTCCAATAGTTATGTTTGAAATGCCAACAATGAATAAATTAAATTAAAATTTATTGAGCACCTACAGTGTTATAGTTATTTGCTTGCTAATTTGATTTTAAGTGTGTGTATAAGTATATGCATGTGTGTGAGTGTGTATAATAGAGGCTATTCTTTTCAAGGTCATACAGCTACTAAGTGGAAAAGCTATGAATTAAATGAAAAGTTTCCTGGCTAAGAAGTCCTTGCTTTGTCCTCAAAATAGGTTTTTGCTAAGCCTACATTAGTTAGAATGGGAAATATATATAGAGATATATGGGCTGGGCACGGTGGCTCACACCTGTAATCCCAGCAATTTGGGAGGCCAAGGTGGGTGGATCACGAGGTCAAGAAATCGAGACCATCCAGGGAATATTGTCACTGAGGTGGAGTAAATTAAGCGTATATAAAAATACAGGTTGAGTAAGGTTATGATAGCTACTGAGTAAGGTTATGATAGCTGGCCAACATGGTGAAACCCCGTCTCTACTAAAAATACAAAAATTAGCTGAGTGTGGTGGCACACACCTGTAGTCCCAGCTACTCGGGAGGCTGGGGCAGGAGAATCACTTGAACCTGGGAGGCCGAGGTTGCAGTGATCCGAGATCACGCTGCTGCACTCCAGCTTGGGGACAGAGCGAGACTGCATCTCAAAAAAAAAAAAACATACAAAAAAGGTATATATGACTATAGCCCTTTTTCTTCATAAGGTTTATAGTCTTCAACGATAGAGTGACTTTTATGTTTTTCTACCAGAAGATTCGAAGTTTTGTAGAGACAAATGTTTATGACATTATTACTTTGGTAAAGTTCAGTAAAGCAAACAAACAAGATGAAAACCTGCCTGCTGAGGGTTGGTTAATCTCTTCTGAAAAAGGTACACTTTGGTATAATGATTCATAAAAAGCATGTGGACACTTTACAGCTTTACATTTAGAATAAAACCTGTAATCCCAATGCCTGTTCTATGTGTTATACCTGTGTTTTCCTGAATTATATGTCTGTGTACCTCCTCTTTATACAGTGTTTCATCTAAAAGGGTGGCATTTACTGCTAGAATTTGAGATCATGAAAAGGAATGATTTTAGCACAAAAAAAACTAAACCTGTTTTCTATCAAATTCTAAGAACCCAGAGGCAATGAATGCTACTGTCAAAAATAATTTGAAGAAAGTGTATCTGACAGTATTTTTCAAATTTAGCTACAATTTTGGTTTTACTTTGGGGTATTGCTCCAGTGGAGATTCGTTCATGATTGTATACCTTCCTAGAATATACAGATTTTTCTTATTAGGCATTCTAAGGAGAGCTTGTTACTGACATTCTGCAGAACTTTACAGTCATAGTATTTCATCTGTAATATTATCTTATAGAATATAAAGATTTTCCTGTAAAAATGGAAGTGTCCCCAAGCCTGTGTTTCTAGTCATGTTTCAATCACTAAGTAGCTTTCTGACCTGGTCAAGCCACTTTACCATCTTTCTGGGTCTTCTTTCCTCATTGGTACCAAGAAAGGGTCAGAGTATTTGAACCTTAATGTCTCTTCTTAGTTCCACCATGTTGCTATGCACAACCCTCATCCACTGCTTATGACTGCTGTGTAAAACACTCCAACCTCAGTATGCCTACAGGCATTCCACAGGAGGTCTATGAAGCTTTTCACAGTTGCAAAGTCATTTTTCCCCTTTGGAAACTGGACTTCAATACCATTTTGGTTCAACATGTGTTTTCTTACACTGATAACAAGAATGGGGGCTCCTAAAAGCATAGATGTTCTTTATGACATCAACCTCGAAAATGTAAAGGATATATTCAAAATATAACTCCTCTAAAGTAAGTAACCATTTATCCAAAAATTTAGAGGGTATATTCAAAATATAACTCCCCAAAAATAAGTAACCATTTATAAAGTAACTAATGTAAATACTTCTGGATTCTAAAATGTATATTGGGTTCTTGGGAACTTGAAATAGCAATTATTTTATAAATCCTTTGTAATAGTCAATAGCAAAGTAAGATCATTGATGTGTGTTTACTCCTTGTTGTCTCTTCTTATACGTTTTTCCAGAGGATGAAGTTCAGTACAGTAATAAAGTAAAATTAAAAAAAAGCTAATGTATTTGTAGACTTCTAAAGTCTTCAAATATTTATTCTGCCCTGTTGAGTGTCTTATGGATAGGTAATATTATCTTTAAAGGTGATGCTCAACTTTCATGCTGTTTTATTTGTTTTTTTCTTGAGACAGAGTCTCAGTCATTCTGTTGCCCAGGCCGGAGTGCAATGGTGTGATCTTGGCTTTCTGCAACCTCTGCCTCCCAGGTTCAAGTGATTCTCCTGCCTTGGCCTCCCGAGTAGCTGGGATTACAGGCGTGTGTCACAATGCCAAGCTAATTTTTGTATTTTTGTAGAAACATGGTTTCACCATGTTGGCCAGGCTGGCCTCAAACTCCTCACCTCAAGTAATCTGCCTGCCTCAGCCTCCCAAAGTGCTGGGATTACAGGCACGAGACACCACACCTGGCCTGTGCTGTACTATTTATTTTTTTATCCCATGGTTACATATGTTATGCAATGAAAATGTTTTCATGCTACACATCAAGTATAAAACTCTTCAGGCCAGACTCCTATACAGATTAAGATGGCATATATGAATTGTTTTTTTTTTCTTTCTCCCAAAGGCATAGGTTAGGCATATTTACTGTCTTTGCCAGGCCTTTTCTCACTTTTTAAGACATCCGAATGTGTAGATTTCCTTCCTTTTCAACATTTACATTGGAAGATGAACATATTTAGAATGAGCCAAAAGAAAAAATGCTGCATAAAGCAGTGTTGAAGGAAGTTATTCTGGCAGTCTTAGGGTTGAAATTCGCAATCCATTACAAGCATGGAAGCTGTAGAGCCTTGGATGAGGCTCTACAAGGATTGGGATTTGTAGAAATTTGATGCGTCCAAACTCTGTAATTACCTTAAAGAAATCCAAGCTTTCTGCAATTAAAAATGTGTAATTAAAAAGTCATCCAGTGTGTGTGTGTTTGTGTGTGCGTGTAATTTATATCCATAAATATGCATCTACTATGTGAAACATCTCTTAAGGGATATGAATGTATGCTGAAATAATTCAGCTAGTGTAAAGAGGGAAGGAAAAAATAATTTATATTACTGGGGGAAGGCAGTCAGATGAATATAAATGGGGAAGCACCATCCCCAGCAGAGATAATAGGTTGAGAAGGAGCTATAAATAGGGAAAATCTGGGTGTGTATGGAAAAAGTGACTTCAACATATGATTAATTAGAGGTGGTGGGGAAAACAATCAAAGAAATATCAATGTGTAGTAAGTAAAAAATGTGGAAGGGTGGTGGGTAGAGGAGCAAAGTATAGTGGAGGTTACTGAATGCACAGAAAAATAATTAAACTCTTAGGTTATACCCTTATCCAAGATTCTGAATTAGTTTCTTCTACTCAGCTTTTCCGGGGATGGTTAGGGCTTCTACAGATAGGAAGTAGAATGCTGTGAAAAGAAGGTACACTTACGAAGGAAAGTTTCTGAAAATAAACCAGAAAACTAATTTGCTAGGGGAGTTCCCTAGTGGCAGAGAGTTTACACCATGTGTTGCCCTTTCTCTCTGCACTTCCAGGAATTCCATCTGCAGAAGGTGAGTGACAGGCCGGTGGTGCTGGTAAAGTCTGTGCTGAGGCAGTAGGAGAGCTGATGTCAATGACAAGGCAACCCTTGACTGCAGCCCTGACACCTGTCTGGGGAATTTAGACTTTAGTGACAATCCTTGACCTGCCATGCAAATCTGGAGCTATACCATTGAATTATTGCCCGTGATTGGGTGTGGAAATGGAGAGCTTTGTGGGCCAGGAAGCAGGCAGTTTGTAATGTGTGGATTTTTAGCCCGGCAAGCTAGATGTTCTACCTTCACTAGAGTAATTTTAATTCATTCTCTTCTGAAGAAAGAGGTAAAGATGAAGGTTGTCTAGGGAGGAGGAATCTCAATATTTTTCTTCATTAGGACAGTTATAATGTTGAGACCAAAAAGATGTAAGTAAAGGTAATTAACAAAGGGCAATCTACTTCCTTTGGAGCTTATAAATTCCTCAACTACTTAGAAATGCTACTCTGTCTCACCCTGACATTTGATCTTTGTACTTCAGATAGGATTTGACGTACGTTTAAGTTCTCAGTGGACTCAGGTTTCCGGAGGACTTTTTTGTTAACTGCTGATTGAACCTTTATTCTGCTCCACATGATTCCTTTGCCAGCTTGTTTGAAGTGTTTGTTCCTGGTGGAACCACAACAAATATGTGAGCTCATTTTCTTTCTATTAGGTAAGGTCTTTAGAGTTTGGGATTTCAAGTATTCAGTGTTTCATGCCTTCAGTGTTCTTTTAGAAATCTGTATGTATTCCTACATTTTTCACAGGCAGTAATCCAGAGAATCTGATATGGTTTGGCTGTATCCCCCACCCAAATCTCACCTCAAATTGTAATCCCTGTTATCCCTATGTGTCAAGGGCAGGACCAGGTGGAGGTAATTAAATCACAGGGGGGCGGTTTCCCCCATGCTGTTCTCATCATAGTGAGTTCTCACAAAATCTGATGGTTTTATAAGTGTCTGGCATTTCCCCTGTTTGCAATCACTTTATTCTGCCACCCCATGAATAAGGTGCCTGCTTCTCTTTTGCCTTCCACCATGATTGTAAGTTTCCTGAGGCCTCCCCAGCCTTGAGGAACTATGAGTCAATTAAACCTCTCTCCTTTGTAAATTACCCAGTCTTGGGTACTCCTTCATAGCGGTGTGAGAATGGACCAACACTGGATCAAATCTGGCTTATGTAAATCTGGAATAAAGAGTAATAAAACCAACCAGATGCTAATAATATGACGCCACCTCTTTTCTCCCATCCAAGATGTGATTCTCTAGATTTTCCAGTCTGATGATGTTGTGGAGCTCGCAGTTGACCTGTATCTTCTTGATATAAGTTCCATGTGGTTGAGCTTGGCGTTTATAACAGAACAGCAAAAAATGGGATCCCTTTCATCAGAATTCCCCTCTTTGCCCCCACACTTTGTAGCAATTCCCTGTTTGCCACTTTCAACTCTTTGTTGATCTAATTATTGGTATGTCTACCCAAGAAAATCTTAAGCTTATTTGGGGACTGTGGTCTTGTTATATATATCATCTCCCGAGATACTAGAATAGCTTAAGTACCCAATTATTATTCAGTAAGTGCCTGTTTACTGTTGGACTTTCTTGAAAATTCATATAGAATACCTTCATTTTCTTCACACTTTGGTCTGTAAACAGTGTGGAAGTAGTGAAGAAGACACAAAGTCACTTTAGACATGTTTATTACTCTCACTTTTATCCTCTCCCCTCCATCAGTGAAGACTCCTACTTGCCATCTTTCCTCTAAAGATCCTTAGTCCCTGAGAAGCAAGAGCTACTGAAGATTATATCCTAATAAGTTTCTAAAACTCAAAAGTTTTGGTAGGAAAGAACATGTAGGCTTAATTCCTTTCTCTTTGACAGTTTGGCCCAATTGGATGCTCAGGTGTAATATGCTATTATTAGCCCTGAGATGAAAATTTCAGGGCCAAAATTATTAGTAAAACACTTAACATTTATTAAATTTTTACAGAGTATTTAATGTGTAAATATTTACTGCACTGGGTACCTTATATGCATTGTTACATTTAATTCTCATTATAATGATTTATTAGCTATTACATAGGTATTTTTACTATCATCCTTATCTATACGGAGAGTGAGGCTTGATGGGATCAAGTAATTTGCCAGTGTCTACTAGCTCTTAGATAGTAAATTCAGCATTCAAGTTCATGCTTAAATTCTACCCTCTATGCCCTCCATCTTATATAAACCTTAACTCCAGGAAAAACTTACCTGTCTTGTACTAACTGTCATATATTTGGTAGGAGAGGCAAGGAGACATTTTTCTAATCACATTCTTTCAGTATGTGTTGGGATAAATTTCAGGGGTTGGAATTTCCATCAAGTGCACATGTACACCTCTTAGAATTGTCACTTTAGGTTATGACAACTAGGATGCATTTTTTAAATAAAAGAAGTGTATTTTGTATATGTATTATATACTGTATTCTTACAATAAAGTGAGCTAAAGAAAAGAAAATGTTATTAAGAAAATATTAGGAAATATTAAGAAAATGTTATTAAGAAAGAGAAAATATATTTACTATTATTACCTGAAAGTGGATCATCATAAAGGTCTTCATCATCATTGTCTTCATGTTGAGCAGGTTGAGGAGGAGGAAGAGAGAAGTTAGTCTTGCTGTCTCAGGCATGGCAGAGGTGGAAGATATGGAGGAGGTGGAAGGAGAGGCGAAGGAGGCAGTATATTCAGTGTGAGCTTTATTGAAAAAAATACACATATGAGTGGACCTACACAGCTCAAATGCATGTTATTCAGGGGTCGACTGTACCTTGATAATAACATCACTGCCATTACCGTATTCTGAGTTGGTGGTATAAATGGCATTTTTCTAGGTGATCGTTATATATGTGTATCATGTATATTACCAGGTATAGTCCTGTAATAGTTCCACCTTTCTGCATAAAAGTCTTCACAAAGCTAAACTGAGAGTTATAGTAACTGTAATTATGGAAGGTAATCACAACAGGAAATATGTTATATGAAATACAACTTTTACAAGTTGTTTTACAGTTTGTGTTATATGAAATAACAATTATAGGCTTTGTTATTCTGAACATTAATTTGCATTAGCCAAACAGGAGATTCATTTTAGGAATATTTGTATCTGTCTACTCTTTCTATTATCTATATATACCAATAAACATTGACAAACATTTAAGCATTAGAATTTTTGTCTCAATTGAATGAAGCTTTCAAAGATGCTTTTTCTTTTTTCTTGGAATCCTGTTGAATTTCCTTGAAAAATAAATAAGAGTTCACACCTTCTCAGAGTTTCCTCTGAGGTGTTTTGATACTGTTAACATGAGCATCAAAGTAATACCAACTCTTAAAACACACATAATTACTTAACTATCAGTGTATTTCTAAGAACCCTGTCATATGCACCCTTCTTATTTTATGCTCATGTTGTAAATAGACATACATGATGCTGTGCTGTCATAGAGAAACCATCCATGTTCACTGCTTAAAGAAGTGAGTGTGAGTTTGAGTGTGAGTCTGTGATGTATGTTTAGTCTGTAATAACAATTCTATTAATTCAATACTGTTTTAAACATGCACTCACATCCTGTCATCAGTAAAACCAAGTGTCAGTTATCCACACAATTAATCAAGTTCTCACTCAGGCTTTCTAGTAATTCAACTAGTTTCCCATTTCCTTATTTCTTCTAGGTGACATAGTTGCTTCTCCATCTGTAAAGCCAGTATAGGATATTTTAATTATTTAGTTAGCAATGTTTTTATTAGGCACTCTTTTAGGCACTGACGATATTAAAGTGAACAAGACAGATAAGTCCCTGTTTCCATGTGAACTAGAGTTTACATTCCAGTTGTACTAGTAAACAACTAAAACCTCTACATAAGGCAGTTTAATATTGAAGAATGTCCTGAGGAATATGAATCAGAACAATGTGGTAGTGGTGTGGTATACACATACTATTTACTTAGGGAGACCTTTCTAGTTGGTGACTTGAACTTACACATGAATGAGAAGTAGCTAGTCACAAGAATATCTATAACAAGATTGTTATAAATAGCAAAGATAGATAGATAGATAGATAGATAAATAGATAGATAGATGGAAAAAGCCCTAAAGTATGAATGAGCTTGGCAGATTTGAAAAATAGATTGACTAGTAGAGAGTGGATATTTGCGAAGATTTATTACTAATGATAGATCTTTAAATATCCACATAGCTTTAAGGGAGCAGTAAATTTAGCTTAAGGTTAGTAAAATGTTCAGTACCAGCAGGATATCCCTATAAGATTTTTTAGGATTACAGAACTTGGATAAATGGTAAATTGGATCAACATCATGCCAATTAAATTTGTTGTATGGTCTGTTTTATTAAATCTCTAATTCGTATTTATATAATGTATAATTATAACTTGCTGCTTATACAGAATGGTTACCCGTTTAGTATTTTATCTGTTCAACAACCATTTACTAATGTCCTATCATATGCAAGATAGAGTACTAGGGGCTGAGTATACAAAAATAAATAAGACCACTCTGTCATGAAAACATGTACAAAAAAGTAGATAACACAGGATTTAAATATATTTAGTGGGAAATATGTTTTCTCAGTTTAAACATATAAAAATTATAAAGTGGAATTTCAGATGAGAGTGGCATTGATAGATATAAGTAGGCATAGCTGATGCAGAGAATGTTAAAATATAATTTTGCAGGTCTGAAAAACCATTTGACATTTCCTTGTAATTCTGGATTAATGCTTATATGATTATCTCTGCCACAGTGGAAAAGTTTATAAATTTAAATTAATGGAAATTGCTGTTGATGAAACCCTCTAGAGGATAATACATTTCTGATATGCCTATAGGGCTCCGTATTTAAGCTAAACTCCTGCCCAAGATGCAGGATGATGAAGTCCTTTATTTCGGCCATCAGACCTATTAAAACCACGAGTATCCCTGTGAGTCCACAAGTCAGGCTACAATACAACATCCTCAATCTGACAAGAAAATCAACTGATTTACTGAATTTATATGAACCAATTCTTATATGCATGACAGCCAAAAAAGTTCCAAAAAGAAAACAAATTTTGCATTAGTATGAGATTTTGAGGTTAGGAGCCTACGTTTAGAGGTTTATCAGTTCAGCCCCCGTATGGAGCTATCCAGGGTGCTGAACGTGCTCTGCAACTCAGTCCCCTTAGTCTCTGGGCTTGACCTATTTTTTCCATTGTTGTTTCTTATCTTCACCTTTTATTCCCTACCCATACTGCCTGCTCTGATTGCTCTTTGTATGATCTCATCAATCATATGTGACAGATTTTTGTCCCGACCCTTGCTATGCCCTACATTCTAACCTAGTACATTCTTCAACCCATGTTTAGCCAAATTTCAATTAAAATTTATACCTACAGCCTTCCCAACAAGTGCCTTGACTCTCAATTTTGTTTCTTGAAGCAATGAGATCATTGATTTGATCTCTAATTATAAAGTAATTAAAAACAATTTTATTTCAGTCCACAAATACATAAATATTCTAAAAAGGAGCCTTTAATTCATTTAATAATCCATAAAAATAAACTGAAAAATCAAGCGTGGACTTCTTTGTCACTTTCCTCTTTTTCATTGTGACCTTCTCTCTCCTCCCACTTCTCCTTCCTCCTCATCATCATTATAAATTCAATGAGTCAGAATGGTTTAATTGAAATTCTTCATTTAAAAAGTAGGATCTTGGTAAAATGTAGGTTCAAAGACAATTTTACAATAGTTTAACCTTAGTAGATGAAAAATAGTAAAAGTATAAACAACTCCTGTGAACATATTGTCTTTGAAATTGGTAAAATAAATAAAATTGAGATCACTTCTTACTGTACATCTCCAGCTTATTTTAGGATGTATCTCTTCCTTTCTGACTGGAAGACTCAAAATACATTTAGAGAGTTGGAGCTGGTGTTGACAGTCAATGATTAGGGCAAAAGTTTTGCATGTACTTCACCTCTGTATTTCTCCCTAATTTCATCCATTGTAATTTAAGAAGAAGGACATGCCTGAATTGAAAAGTTCAACAAGTGAACTTTTGAATAAACAGTGTAGATTTTTATCTTAGGTCCACCAATCCCTAACCATGTAATCTTGGGTAAATCTTTAACTCTATGGATCTATATTTTTTAAATTTGCAAATTGAGAATAATAAAACATCCTCACACTGAAGATTCCTGCCAGAATTATATGAGATAATGCATATCCAAAGTTTAGGGCAGAAACTGAAACCTAGCCAACATTTTAAAAATGTGAATTATTGTCATTAACTTATCCTTTCGGTGCTTCACCTCTCCATACATTTTAAGATACTCTGGTCATTATGAGTACTTGCCACAAGTATATAGGAGATAAAAGATTTATTTTCCCACCCATTATTAGGTTCATAGCTGAGGTATCCTGTAATAAGAGACAGATTAACAGGAAAAAAAGCATACAAATTAATATAATTTTTATGTGACATTGGAGCCTTTGAAGGGAAGACCCAAAGAAACAGGGAATCCTGTGTATTTTAGACTTTGGTTTCATAAAGAGTGGACAGTCTTGGGGAAGTATGGCTGGACAAAAGTGGGCATGGCCTGATGGTAATAAGCTGGGGGAAACTTAGCAAGGCCTATTGTTCAGATTCTTCCTGGTGTCTCTGTGTGTTCAGCTGCTTTCCTCTAGTTCTAGAGAGAATACCTCTGAATGAAGGTCTTTATGATTTGCTTTAGATGAAAGTCAGAGGATTATTTTATGGTCTGCTTCAGGGGAGAAGAGTGAGAGAAAGTCAAAGAGATCTTTCTGCTTCTGCTGCTTTCTCAAATGCCAAGTTGCTGTATTTTGGGGTAGTATGTCCTGAACCCCATCAGGTACTTGACATTTCATGAAGGTAAGCTGATCAATCTTTCATCCATGGCACTCATTAATGTCTCAATTTGAAATGTTGTGAGCTATGAAAAAAAGACAAGGAAGGTAGTGCTTATCTACTCATGAACAACCATTATTAACTCACTATTAATCATTGATTACAATTGATCTATTGGCCATGGTATTGTTGTGAACTTTGAAATATATTGTATTAACATTTCTATGAAAATGGTGGTTGAAATTCTGCAGGCAGATAATGCAGTGTTAACATAATAAGTAAAATAATTAATGATAGTGAAGTTGTAAAAGTAAGAAGGTTCAATGTGCTTGAAAGTCACAGAATTTTGAAAAATGCAAGAGATAAGGAAAACTGATGAACAAAATGTGACAACTTGAGACTGGCTATGCATACTGAAATGAACCAGTGACTTTTAAACTAGAATTCTTAGAGTGTACAGCCTACAGAAATGTAAATATGGCTAATACAGGTAACTTTCTAATTTAAATACCTATCAAAGCTTCTGTTGGAAGAAAACTAGATTTATACATTGTGACATGCTCAAAATCCTTGTCTTCTCCAACACCATCTCCAGTAAAATACTCCTAGCATAAAATTTATTAAAGTGAATATCTCTGAAATTAGGTTCTTTTGGAATTAAACAAAAGAGACCATGGTTTTCCAGGCATTGTTGTAGATGTCACTTTATAATAAGACAGATAAGGCAGTCAGTATACAGAGGTTTGGTTTTATGGCCAGAACTAACATTTATTCAATCAATGAGAGAGATCAATTAGAGCAGCATTACTTCTACAGTGGGAAAATTTCAGAGCCCCTGAAATAGAACATTATTGTTAAATTATCAAATATGTTACAGTTGTTGCTAGTATAATGACCCTTTCTCTTTATCAGAATCAGGGAAGAAAAAAGCCAAATGGTGACTAATTTATCACCAGGTTCATAACTAAGTTACCAAAAGACTGAAACTAATCAGGTCTGATTTTCAAAATAAGCAATAACATTTAAAGCATATTTGAATATACAGATGTTTGGATCACTGATATCCTAAGAATTCTATAGTCTCTGCTGATTTTAAAGTCGAGATTAGATTGTTCTTGTATACCCAGAGAAGCATAGCTCTAAAGGGAAGGTGTTCTGGGGAAAGAAAAGAAAAAAATGACGTTTTCATCATCACACTGAAAAAGTGCCAACAAATCCTAAGTAATTTTGTGTTGATTATACTAAATTAGAATAGTGATGGCTATAATCATTTGATCCCTGAGGCATTAATGAAAAATCAGCATTATTTTGTGTGGAATATGTATTATTATCCTTGAGCTTAGGAATGATTATTAGTAAGTCTGATTAAATCTGGAAGCAGTGACACAAGCTATCTTTAACCCACCAATGACAGGGCTATATTGTAAATTTATGATGAATGAACACAGTTTAGCATTTTTAGCACTTGTTGGGGAAAATAAGAAGTCTGCATTCATTTTCTTGATTAGACTGCAAAGTAGTACAGAGAAGCTCATAAAAAATTCTTCATAATGAAATAGTGTTCCTACTGATAGATTAACCTATCATAGCTTCCAAAATTCACAGGACTGGTTATCCTTGTATGATCAAAGATATTATTCAGCAACATTCTGGAGATCATGAATTCCTAGATACAGAAGTATAAACAATAAAAATACTACCATGTTGCATGCATGTATTACCTTCATCTTTTTTTTTTTTTTTTTTTTTGAGATGGAGTCTTGCTTTGTTGCCCAGGCTGGAGTACAGTGGCACGGTCTCGGCTCGTTGTAACCTCCGCCTCCCAGGTTCAAGCGATTCTCCTGCTTCAGCCTCCCAAGCAGCTGAGACTACAGGCACACACCACCATGCCCGGCTAATTTTTTGTATTTTTAGTAGAGATGGGGTTTCACCATGTTGGCCAGGATGGTCTCGATCTCTTGACCTTGTGATCCACCTGCCTCAGCCTCTCAAAGTCCTGGGATTACAGGCGTGGGCCACCGCACCTGGCAGTATTACCCTTATATTTTTAAATGCTTTCACATTTACTTTATGGTATTCTTATCATAGTAACTTAAGTGAGTTAGACTTTTTACCACCTGCTCTATCAGTAAGAAAACTGTAGCACAATCCAGTGGAGGTATTTGCTAAAATCACACAGGTTGTCAGAAATACCAGTATTGGAACCCCAGGGTCTTGGTTTCAAGTCTAATATATTTTCTGGGCCTCAGTTTAGCCATTAATTTTATAATTACAGACAATGTTTTTGCTAACATCTTGAATTCTTTCTTTTTAAAAAGATGTCTATTCTGTATTCATAGAAAATATTAGAGATTCTTACTGATCAAATGGATCACAGCAATTGTTTAATTTTAATTTTCAGTGCTAGGTAATGGAGCTCAGAACACACTGACTCAAAATTTGGCATTTGAGGAATCAGCAGAAGGAGGCCGTAGAAACTTGAAAGGAATCTACTTGCCCCTTCTTCCCTGAAGCAGTCATGAAAGCTAACTGAATTTTCCCAGAAAATAGGTCATAAGACTATTATATCAGAGGCGTTCTTCCTGTACCTGGAGGAAAAGAATGTCCTTATCTCTGAAAACATAGGGACACTGAAAAGAATCTGAACAAGTAGGCCTTGCCGTGTTACCCCCAGTTTATTAACATTAGATTGTACTCTTTTGTCCTCCAATTATACTTCCATGCACGACTGTCCACTCTTTATCAAACCTAAGCATAAAAATACCCAGATTTCCCTGTGTCTTCGGGCCTTCATTTCTGAAGGCTCCTGTGTATAAGTTTTATATAAATAAATATATGCTTCTTTATGAATGAATATAAATTTTACTTAATATAAATTTATGTAAATTTAATATTTTTATAATTATAAAATTACAAAAATGATTGTAATTTTAAATCATATATAAATTTATTATAAATTTATATATAAATTTTAATATAAAATATACTTAATTTTACTTAATATAAATTTACTTAATATAAATTATTAAGTAAATTTGTTTTCTCTTATAAATCTGTCTTTATTACAGGAGCCTTATCCAGGAACCTTGTGATGTATGAGTAATCTTTCTCCCCTGTATAGGCAAAATTGTTTCTAAAATCCCCATATAATTTAGGGCAAGTTCTGATCCTTGCATAGTAGCATCTGACACTCAGTAGTAACTTGATTAAATATTAGTTCCTTTTTTCCTAATTCCCACCCCAAATGCTGTGACCCTCTCTGCACTCAAAAGACAAAATCTTTAAAATTCTTAGTTGATCTGAAATTTGTGTTGATGGCCTACATTATTTTATTGTTAAAACTATGATTACAGGTGACTAGTCAGTAACAAAACATAAAAATTGTGAAAGTACAGCCAAACCCTGTTTTAAATGCTAGATGGAGTTAGTGTTTTGTTTCCATCAAAGCCACAATATTTCTACTTGAAACATAGGCCAGGGCAGTGGCTCACGTCTGTAATCTCAGCACTTTGGGAGGCCGAGGTGGGTGGATCACCTGAGGTCAGGAGTTTGAGACCAGCCTGACCAACATGGAGAAACCCCATCTCTACTAAAAATACAAAAAATTAGCCAGGCATGTTGGTGCATGCCTGTAATCCCAGCTACTCAGGAGCCTAAGGCAGGAGAATCACTTGAACCTGGGAGGAGGAGGTTGTGGTGAGCCGAGATTGCACCATTGCACTCCAGCCAGGGCAAAAAAAGCGAAACTCCATCTCAAAAAAATAAAATAAAATAAAATAAAATAAAAAAGAAACATAGCTTTGCAACTGAATGGCATCCCATTCACTTAGCATCATAATGGAATTCTGTTGAATAGCTTAAATTTAGGGCAATCAGAGCCAAAGACTCAGTTACGGAGTAACTGTAGGTCCCGCTTGGCATGTGACAGATTAGATTCCTTGGAGAAGTTAAATCCAGAAATGAGTCATTTTAATAAAGCAAAACACATAATATAAAGGGTATGGATAAGAAGCTATGAAAATGCCTAGGATAGACAAAAAGAAAGATATCCTGGGATAGGGAAAGGGACATTTGAACATCAAATTAAGCAAAGCCATGAAGTTTGGAATTTTTCTTGGCATTTTCTTCCCGTACCCTGCAAATATTAAATCAATTGTCAATCAATTGTCAATTTTACCTTTAACCATTTCTCTTCTTCATGTCTTTCTCCACACGATCACTGATCTAGGGTGAGCTCTTACTATCTTTACTTATAATAGGCTAGTTTATTCGCTATTTCTATTTCCAGGCATATCACTCTCAAAACCATCATCCAGATTATTTAAAACCTTAAATCTAATCACATCTCCCACTTGCTTGAAACCATTCAAAGTCTTCTAGTTGCCTACAAGATAAGATCTAAACTTATGTTTCTCTGTGGTCTGGCTTCTCCTTACCTGTGCCACCTCCTCTCATGATGAGCCATTCTGTGATGGTGCTTCAGCCTGTAAAATTGTTTGTGGTTTCAAAAATATTGCACTTCATTTCATGCCTCCATACCTTTTCCTCTTCTTGTAATGCCTTTTCATATTCATCTCCAACAGGGTAAGTTCTGCACATAATTCAGTGTCCCTTTTCCAGTTTGATGTTGCAGCTCTTCCTTCATCTCAAATATCCACTGGATTAGGTACATCTGTGTGTACTTCATCTTATCCATCCTGTTAAAGAAAAAATTATAGAAGGACAATTGTTAAAGCATGGTAGGGAAAGTTTTATTTAGGACCATCATGATAAATATATGGGCCACTGCAATGGAATTGTTTGCAGTGTAGGAGAGAGAATGGGCTCAACTCTGTATATAGCATGAACAAGTGAGAATTTTTAACCAAGGAACAGAGTAGAGGTCAGCAGACAGACAATGACTAAGAGGTAACATCAGGAGTAATGGGAATTCTGGCTAAACTGACCTAACAGAATTCTTGCTGAAGACAAACCAATGTGATCAGGTATCACCTGGGAGTTGGTGGAGAATGAAGAACTTAATCAGGTATCAAGAGTAATCAGATATCTAAAGTGGGGCAGTTCTTACTAAACTGACTTAGCACACTTCTTGCTAAAACCAGATTTTACAAGGAAGTGCACAGATGAGCCTAGGAGAAGGTAGAGGGGTCTGACTAAAGTTTTGATCAAGTAAAAAAGTCTTTATCAATCTTGGTATTTCCCGTTAAGCACAATGCTTGGAACATAATAGTTGCTCAACAAATGTTGGCTGATCTGATTATAAGAATAACATGGATAGATCATCCTTTGTAATCTATAAGTTTTTTAAAAGTTTATTTTTAATTATTATGAATACATTCCAGTTGTACATATTTATGGGGTATATGTGATATTTTGATACAAACCTGCCATGTGTAATGATCAAATCAGGGTAATTGGGGTATCCATCACCTCAAGCATTTATCATTTTTTTTGTGTTAGGAACATTATACTTCTGCTCTTTTAGTTATTTTGAAATATACAAATAAATTATTGTTAACTGTTATTACCCTGTAGGTGTTACTGAACGCTAGATCTTATTCCTTCTATCTAACTGTGTTTTCGTGCCTTTTAACAATCCCCCTTTTTATGTTCCCCTCCCCCACTACCCATCCCAGTCTCTGGTAGCCATCATTCTACTCTCCATCTCCATGAGTTCAATATTATTTTTAGCTCCCACATATTATTGAGAGTATGCAATATTTGTATTTCTGTGCCTGGCTTACTTCTTAACATAATGTGCTTCATTCCATTATTTCTTAACATAATATGCTTTAATTCCATCTACGTTGTTCCAAATGACAGGATTTCAGTTTCTTAGTAGCTGAATAATATTTCATTTTGTATATGTACTTTATTTTCTTTATCCATTCATCTACTGATGGATTCTTGGGTTGATTTCATATCTTGTCTATTGTAAATAGTGCTGTAATAAACATGGGAGTGCAGATATCTCTTTGATATACTGATTTCCTTTCTTTTGGATATATACCCAGAAGTGGCATTACTAGATCATATGGTAGTTCTATTTTTAGTTTTCTGAGGAATACTCCGTGCTGTTCTCTATAGTGGCTGTACTAATTTATTCCCACCAGCACACTAGAGTTCCTCTTTTTCCGTATCCTCATCAGCATTCATTATTGCCTGTCTTTTGGATAAAAGCCATTTTAACTGGGGTGAGATGACGTCTTATCGTAGTTTTGATTTGCATTTCTCTGATGACAATCTACAAGTTAATATGTCTGAAAATCTCTCAGTCATCCTATCATGTTTCTACTCTTCAATGGGAAAAATTAATTTATCAAGCCAGATTGTCATCTTTTCTTAAAAAATTACATGATATGAAATTCACAGCTTTCCTATTCAAGTGAGTTTTTCTTATGTCCAGCTAGAATCCCCTTTGGGTTAATATAAGTCTTTAGTGTACGAATTTGAATCTTTGCCTGAGGTGCTACACTGTTGGTTCTCTTAAAAATTTGTGGCATTATTTAATTCAGTAAAATTTGTGTGGATTGATTTGTATCCTTTGAATAGTTAGTATTATATAAATATCTCAGTCTATAAGACTCATCCAAAACTTTGGAATTGGAAGTCCAATCTCCTCTCCATTAGAAGTCTTGTCTTGGACATCCAGTCTCTATTTAATCCAATGATATGCTCCCTGATTTATCTACTCAGACTTTTTATTGTTAGTTAGGTTTATTCTTTATTTTAAACTGAGATCCGTCATCACAAAAGCCATTCCCATTTACCTGTTGTCCTTTGGCTGTATTGCCCTGGTTATATATTACTGGGTTTTGCTAAATGTTTCCTATCTTTTCTTTCAAGTTAAATCTTTATGTCTCTGTTAGATTATCACATATAAATGTGTAAAAACATAGATATTCCTGCAAAGCTTACAAGGAAACAATAAAACAGAAAAGACTTGATCTAACTCCTCCCCACCTCAATCCAGAGCTATTACTTTCACTCTTTTAGTTGTTTCTTCTGATTTTACTTCCATATTTCCAAACAATGTGGTTATGGTGCTATTTTTATTTTGATGTCTTTACATTCAATACATCAATGTTGATTTTAGGTTTTATTTTATAAATATCCTCAATTTTATCTTCCAATTCTTTTGTTGAATAAATCTTTGCTAATAAATATGTATATACATATATTTATTATATATGTATATATATTTACATATAAATAAATATATATACATATTTTAATATATATATTTTATTTTCTAAGGGCTTTATGTTGTATTATTTCTTATTTTGATAGCATTCAGATTGCAGTTTTTAAAAGATACAAATCATTTCTTTTATCATATTAATGATGAGGCTTTTAAAATCAGTTTTCTATTCTCTGCATTGTATCTCTTTTTTATTCCATTTTCTTTCTTTCTTTTCTCCTATGTACCTTAGTCTCTTGTTTCATATTTCTATTAGAGCCTATCCTACATTGTCTAGTTAATCTTGGCTGTTTGTTGTCACTTAATAATAAAACTCTAACAAACCATTAGAAACTGTATAATTATAGCAATTTTCAAAATTATTATTAGTGGGTGAAATTCACTAAATCTAAATAGGTGGGGATCTACCCATTTTATTAAGAGACCACCCTCCAAAATGTCAGATCTTTTCTCTCAAGTCATTTTTTTTTAGTAATTCAGTTTCTGAAGTCTTAGTTTTCTCTCTGTGCGTTTTCTGCATTTAGGTGGATAGCATCTTCATAACAGAGGAGAAAAGGGAGTCTGTTAGGCAGATTGGTCTCAGGGGTCAGTATATAAATTTACACATAATCCTACTATTTTTCTTATAACTTCGCACTGCTGTCACAGCCTGAGCCTCTTCAAGTCAGATTCCAATGCTCTTCTTAAACAGATTCTCTGAGTGTGTTTGCTGATTTTTGCTGCAGTGGAGAGGGTATTTCTCAGTTGATGTGATCCTTATATAGGCTTTTAGTCACTCCATCTGTTTTCAGCCCCACTGCTGGCTCTGCCTTCAGAAATATGTGATGCCTCCAAGTTCTCTAACTTTATAGGGTTCTACAGCAAAATATCCTTGTTTACTACTGGCTTCTTTCTCTGTAAAAACTTAGCTTTCCACTTTTTTCTGTCCTACTGTCAATTACCACACATCTATACACTTTTCATCTTCCAAATCTTGTTGACATTTCTCCTCTGCTATTGTCTTTTCATCCAGTCTCTTTTGCTACTGCGAACTATACAGCCTTTATTTTTTTCACAACCATTTTAGTAGGATTTTGAAAGAAAATACAGATAGAAAGCTTGTGTTTAGTCCACCATACTTAGTGAGAAGTTGCCATAACATTTTTGAAGATTGAATGTACAGTATGGAATATGTTCATTATCTCAGTACCATGTTTGGGCTCATAAAAATAAAAATAGCAGACATGAGTGTGGCCTTTATTCATTTGTTCAACAGGCTTTTACTGCTTGCCTATCATGGGAATGGCAAGAAACATCATTTCAGTTAACTGAAAGGACAAATACAATATTCTTAGTGATCTCCTTCCTTCAGTTCCCCACAGGAAATTTGAGGTTGATAAAACAGCAGCAAAAGCATATTTTTAGAAGATAAAGAGATGGTTCGTATGATGTACAGAAGTCTACTTGCTACTCAAAGTGTGATCAGTGGTCTAGCAGCATGCATCCCTGGGAGCTTATTGGAAGTACAGATTCTTAGTCTCCTCTCTGACCTACTGGAACACAATCTACGTTTTAATGAGGTCCCCAGGGTAGTCTTAAAATTGGTCCAAGGGAAAGGATTTTATTAGAAAAAAAGTGAACCTTCTTTTATCCCACCTAGGGTTAATGCATAGGAATTTTATCTGTAGTCAAGATCATAGGCACCATGTGAAGTGATTTTCTTTTCTTTCTTTTTTTTTTTTTTTGAGACAATGTCTCACTGTGACCCAGGCTGAAGTGCAGTGGCACGATCTCAGCTCACTGCAACCTCTGCCTCCCAGGTTCAAGTGGTTCTCCTGCCTCAGCCTCGTGAGTAGCTGGGATTACAGGAATGCACCACCATGTCCGGCTAATTTTTGTATTTTTAGTAGAGATAGGATATCACCATGTTGGCCAGGCTGGTCTTGAACTCTTGACCTCAAGTGATCCACTTGCCTTGGACTCCCGAAGTTCTGGGATTACAGGCGTGAGCCACTGTGCCTGGCATGAAGTGATTTTCAAACATAGTTGATCATAAGAACCTTGAAGGGGATTATTTGTTTAAATGTAGATTCTTCTTTCTTTTACATTGTCGTAAGTAATGTAATCAATGTGGAATAGGGCTGTAAACCTATTTTAAGGGCTTCTGAGATGCTAATCAGTCAGATTTGGGAACTATCAGGGAAAATTTTCAACCCTTTTCATCATGATGTCTCAGGGACCAAATATCTTCCATTTGCTACCCACCACTTCCTGCAACTCCTACCAGCCATCACTACAGATGTATCATATCAGATCCTATTTTCTTCATCTTTGCCTTCTCCTCAAATCATGTATAGTCTTGAGACTCATCTGTTCAGTTGGCAGAGTGTCTTCCTTCTCCCAAGACAACATCCTCGTTTTCATTTTTCCCATTCACTCTGTGCCACTGCTTACCTCCATGCCCAAATCTCCAGCTCTCTCTTTGCTGGCAGGTGTCATGTTCTGACACTGATTTGGGGTCAAGTCTGGGGTTCTGAATCAGGAGCCTGTGTTTGATGGGGAGTAGATGCCAGAAGGCATTGACAAGTGGCACCATGCAGGCGAATAATGCAAGAAGAGTCACCTTGTGGGAAAATTGATGCCTGATAATCTGTCCCACCAGGGTGTCAAGTCCGAGAGTGAGAATCCATCAATTAAACTGTGGGACGGACTTTAGAGAGGACAGACTTGAGCACAGGGGTGTGGAGAATTGGTTATGGAAGAAATTCCCAAGCGAAATGAATATAGTTGGAGGAAATGTGAAGAGGGTGGGGAGTTTCCTGGGCCTCTGCTGGAAGAGCAGAATGTAAGAGTTGAGAATGTTAAACCAGCTTGCATAACGTTTTGCTGAACAGTTTAATTCAGAAGCCAATTGAGATATCTGTTATTCCTGACAAACTTTAAAAGGTTCTAGAACTGGCAAAACAACTAGGTCTGAGCAAAGTGAAAAGACATAGTGTGACCAGCTGGGACAGGAACGCTGCAAACTTGCTAATTAGTCTGGAGGAAGCCAATTGCCCACATTTTTATGTACTGCTAATTACTAAAGTAGCAGCTTGCTATAAAGACAAAAATAACAGCATGATAGTTTCTTGAATATAGGATAAAGTGGCCTTTGGGATGTAGGCTCCATCAACTTTAAAAATATTCTGTAGTTTTTAAACTTAAAGCATACAGTGCCGTAATAAAAATACACTTTGGAAGTCAGTTATTCACTTTTTTCCATAGGCTGTTAGATGAGAAATTATAGAATATATGGTACCCTGTTGGGAATTTATACTAAAGGATTTTGTTTTAAAGATACCAACTCTCCATTTGAATACCATTTCTCAGCTCATTTTAAACATTTACCCAATTAAAAAAGCTAAATAAGTGATTTTAAAATGTGTTTTATTTTAAATACACAGTGTTTTTTTCTGAAAATGCTTTCTCAACCCAGTTATATCTGTGAAAAGAGAATGTCCTTTAGGAATTTACCAACTTTTCACGCAGTTGTAGCATTCATTGTGGGTGTTCAGTAAATATTTGCAGAAAGAATGAGTGAATGAGCAAAGGAATAAATACACAAAACCTTGTGTGCATGAGAACGATAGGATTTCACACTTCTAAGGAACAACTGAGAACAACTACTCCCCTTGTATTCTTTTGAGGATGAGGAAATTTAGGCAGAGGACAAGTAACTCCTCTGGGGCCTCACAGCTGGTTAGGGGCAAAACTGGGTCTGGGCCCCATTTCTTATGTCTATCAGCCCAGCAGTCTTTTCATTTTAAGCTTATTTGTATTCCCTTTAAGAGAATAATGAGTTATTTCTGCAGGGCTAATTCTGACCTGAATCATATTAAATCAGCAAAGCCTGGTTTTCTTACACTTTCAAATGCAGAATGACAAAAGTAAAGCATCTTTTAAAACAAAACAAAGCCAAAGCAATTGGAGTATTTGGTTTTATTGAGGAGTGATGTTTTCAAAGGCAGAGAAGGGAGAAAAATGGAAACTCTGTGCCATGGACTTAACTTGAAAGCTAAATGTCAGACTTGATGTAAAGGAGGAAAACCAGCCCTGAGGACCTATAACTGCATAAAAGAAAAAAAGCAGATTTCTATTGATTGCAGCAAATCAATAGAAGTTCATGTATTTGCGGATTTATTTATTGCTTGCATTGGTCACTGAAACCTCTAATTAGATTCATAGTGTACTTAGTGTATTGTAATTATATGTGGCAGAGCACGTTTGATGAAGGTGGATATAAGTAGATGAATATTTAGACCCAGCAATACCACTAATGACTCACATGCCAGGTAACATTTCTTTACTTGTAGGACTTATTAAGAAGTGGCTGTGAATTGTCTTCTTAATTAAAGGTTTGGTTACATGACCAAAGAGTTGTTAATAATGGTGCAGTCACTTATCAAATGTGTGATCCCACCTAACTTATTTATAATTCTGAACCTAGTGTTTCTCATATGTACAGATAGGTTCCTAATGACACTTACCACATGGGGTTGTTGTGAGGATTAAATAAGAGCATGCAAGTAAGGTTTTACATAGTGCATTCCACATAAAAAGCACTCAATAAATGTTAGCTATTATTACTGTTTTCAGTCACTCCAGGCGAGCTATATTGTAAAAAACCATACTTCCATTGCTTCTTCACTAGAGCCTAGCAAATCATTGTTTTCTACTGGTCTACTATTTGTGGATATTTCTACCCCAAGATCCTTTCCCAAGAGGACAATGCAATATAGTTGAAAGATTCTTCTTCACTTGGTGTTCAGAATATTTCATTCAAATTCAACATTCACAAGTGCAATTTGTACTCGATATTGTAGACTTTCCAGAAAGGTGAGGTTCATTCATTCAATTGCTTCTTGGCTGAGCAAATTTATATTCTCTTAAATCTTGATAAGTCAGTTAATCTTCTCTAAAATTGAGGAAGTTATACTCATTCCACTGGGGTGCTATGAGGATCGGATGAAGGTATATAGCAAAAGTGCTTATTTGTAAACATCATGTTGTTGAATGAATATTGGTTATTGATATTTTCTGAAGGTCCCCATTCCATGCCTTTTTCAGGGCCCCGTGTAAAGCCATCCCTTCTCTGAAGCTTTCCCTGACTTCTCTACCTTCCATCTAGATGTCAACTCTCCTCCTTTTCACTCTCACTCCATTTCAGTTGATCTTCCTTGGAATTCAAAATACATACTGCCTTGTAGAGCAGTGATTTGTATTTATTTCATTCCTTCTTCTACACTTTCAGAAGGAAGTGTCTACATCTCATTGACCTCATTGTCCCACACAGTGCATAACACAGTATCTTGCCTGTAATAATGCTCAACAAATATTTGATTAATGAATAGACAGGCTTTTATGAATCCATGTGTAATGTTAAGTTCTATGAATTATGTAGAAATAGTAAAAGCAAATAAAGACTCAATTACAATTTTAACTCTTCAACAAGATGATCAAATCCTTGAGGATTAGAAATTAATTAAAAATGAACTCATCCTTTATTCATTCATCCCATTATTTAATAAATAAACATAAATCGAGCACCTTCCAGGTGCCAGATACTATGTTGGATTCGAGGAATTTAATGCAATTAAAATAAATAGTTTCATCCCATAGAGGTTGCAGTTTGTAAGTAATAAGAAATAAGGAAATAATTCCAAACTTGCTTTTGCAGGATGAATATTTAGAACTTTCTTTATTAAAAGAGGTCAGTAAAACATTCTTAACTGCTTTTTCTATCCATTATTAATTCCAATAATTTGGTCACTGTTCATTAGTGAGATTAAATTTGGCTACTGAGAGTAGGTCATGCAAATCATCTTTCTGGTTAAAAAAAGGCCTGTAGCTACTGGGTGAAATTTGCTTTGAATTATTTTTCATAATCACAAGTAATTGGGCATGTCGTACTCAGTTATAAATAAATATACAAAAGTACACTGATCTACTTTCCTTAATAATGAGTTTGAAAACCATCGCTATGTTACTTAAACTTACTTTTCTTCACTATTTAAAAAGTCCAGAGGGCACAAGTAACCTTCAGAGAATCTTTCCACATTACAAGGCAAAATTATTTAATAAAATTTCTGAACATACATTTTAATTGAAAAGTCATAAGCAATTCTACACTGATGGGGAACCAGCCAATGTGATGCAAAATGAATTTCTCAGTAACTGTTTTGTGTGTAGGTAATTTTAAGTGAAAGAAATTTTTTTTCTATTGTACAAACCAAGACTAATTTATTCATTGTTGTTCCAAAGCAGCAGAAGCCACCAGAATGTCACATTTTATTTTTAATTCACAAAATTAAATATACTTATGGTGTACAATATTGAGTTTTGAAATATGTATACACTAGAATAGTGGACTCAAGCTAACATATGTATTACCTCAAATACTGATTTTTTTGTTGTGAGAACAATTAAACTCTCTCTTTGCAATTTTCAAGTATAAAATACATTGTTATTAACTGTAGTCATTATATTGTACAATGGATTTCTTGAACTTATTGTTCCATCTAACTGGAATTTTGTACCCTTTGGTCAAACATCTCTCTAATCCCACCCGCCTACACCACCTCAGCACCTGGTAACCACCATTCTACTCTCTCCTGCTATGAGTTTGTTTTTTTTTTAGATTTCATATATAAGCGAGGTCGTGCAGTATTTGTCTTCCTGAGCATGGCTTATTTTACTTAACATAATATCCTCAAGATTTGTCCATGTTGTTACAAATTAGGAGATTTTTATCTTTTTAAAGGCTCAATAATATTGGTTGTGTACATATACCATGTTTTCTTTTTCCATTTCCATTTATGTGTCGATGAACACTTAGGTTGATTCCGTATGTTTAGCCAAGGTGAATAATGCTGCAGTGAATGTTGGACTGCAGATATCTCTTTGTCATTCTGAATTCTTTTCCTTTGGATATATACCCTGTATCAGGATCACTGGATCGTATGGTAATTCTATTTTAATTTTTTGAGGAACTTCCATACTATTTTTCATAATGGCTACATGATATATCCCCAACAGCAGTATACCAGGGTTCCCTTTTCTCTACATCCTTGCTAATACTTATCTTTTATCTTTATGATAACAACTAATCTATAGTAATAGCTAATCTATAGCTAGGTATAAGGTGATATTTCGTTGTGGTTTTAATTTGCATTTCCCTGATAATTAGTGATGTTGAACATTTTTTAATGTACTTGTTAGCCGTCTGTATGTCTCCCTGTAGGAAATGTCTATTTAGATCCTTTGCTTATTTTTTAATTGGGTTATTTGTTTACTTGCTATGAAGTTGTTTGAATTCTTTATATATTTTAGATATTAACCCCTTATCATAGAATGACGCATTTTAAGACAAGGAATGAATCTTGTGAAAGCTTAATTCCCTGTCCTAATTCCTCACCCTTTACACCTCCTTGCACTAGACACACTCATTTACAAACTCTATACTTCTACTGTATTCCTATGACTGGAGGGTGTTTATGAGAAAAGCAGGTGAGCCTTAGAGTACCAGTATATCAATTTTTTTCCACAGTAGGTTAAGGGATTCATGGAGGGACCCCCCCTGCCCCCCAAATTGATTTGCCTTTTGCATTAGTCAAGGTTCTGGCAGGAAAACTGGTGACACTCTCAAATGGGGGTAATAATATAAGAATTGGGCCGGGCGCGGTGGCTCACGCCTGTAATCCCAGCACTTTGGGAGGCCGAGGCGGGCGGATCACGAGGTCAGGAGATCGAGACCATCCCGGCTAAAACGGTGAAACCCCGTCTCTACTAAAAATACAAAAAAATTAGCCGGGCGTAGTGGCGGGCGCCTGTAGTCCCAGCTACTTGGGAGGCTGAGGCAGGAGAATGGCATGAACCCGGGAGGCGGAGCTTGCAGTGAGCCGAGATCCCGCCACTGCACTCCAGCCTGGGCGACAGAGCGAGACTCCGTCTCAAAAAAAAAAAAAAAAAAAAAAAAGAATTGACCCATTTACAATAGTATAGGCAGGGTAAGTCTGTTGTCAGGGAAGCCAATAAAGGATGGAGAAGCACCTTTTTACCCATTACCTCTCTTAGGCTTGAAGGGGGAAAGGGAGTGAATATTTATTGGAACAAAGAGCCAGAGATGTGGCTGTAACTGGGAGAGGGCCTCCCAATAGGATCTGAAAAGTTCAGTAGTGAAATGCAAGCACTGCAACCCGAGGCCTGGCAGGGAGGAGACCAAAGAAACTGATATCCCAATCTCACTTTTCCCACTCCCTGGCTTTCTGCCAATGACTCCCATTTGATGCAGTCCAGAAAGATGGGCTTCCTAGAGAGCAGAGTAGGGTGGAAAATGGATTCAGAGGGCCATGAAGAGTATCAGAGTATCAAGAATACCTGTTACATTATAAGGAATATATATGTATATATGTATTTATTCATATGGTACATGTGCTTACAAGCAGGAAGCTATTGTGTATATATAAGTGTTATGTATTTACGCATATGGTACATGTGCCTACAAGCAGAAAGCTATTAATCCTTTCAAGAACCTTTACAGGCATTATTCATTTAATATTGATAAAACCATTTCAAATGAGCTGATAATGGTTTGGCTGTGTCCCCACCCAAATCACATCTTGAATTATAGTTCCCATAATCCCCATGTATCATGGGAGGGACCCAGTGAGAAGTAATTAAATCACGGGGGCAATTACCCTTATGCTGTTCTCATGATAGTGAGTGAGTTCTCACAAGATTTGATGGTTTCATAAGGGGATTTTCCCCCTTTTGCTTGGCATTTCTCCTTCCTGCTGTCATGTGAAGAAGGATGTGTTTGCTTCCCCTTCCACCATGATTGTAAGTTTCCTGAGGCCTCCCCAGTCATGTGAAACTGTAAGTCAGTTAAACCTCTTGCTTTATAAATTACCCAGTCCTGGGTATTTCTTCATGTCAGGCTGAGAATGGACTAATACAGTAAATTGGCACCAGGTAGTGGGATACTGCTGTAAAGATGCCTGAAAATGTAGAAGCACCTTTGGAACTGGGTAACATACAGAGGATGGAACAGTTTGGAGGGCTCAGAAGAAGAGAGGAAGATGGGGAAAGTTTGGAACTTCCTGGATACTTGTTGAATGGCTTTGACCAAAATGCTGATACTGACATGGACAATGAAGTCCAAACTGAGGTGGTCTCAGATGGAGATGAGGAACTTGTTGGGAACTGGAGTAAAGGTGACTCTTGCTATGCTCTAAAAAAGAGACTGGTGGCATTTTGCCCCTGCTCTAGAGATCTGTGGAACTTTGAACTTGAGAGAGATGATTTAGGGTATCTAGTAGAAGAAATTTCTAAGCAGCAAAGTGTTCAAGACGTGACTTGGGTGCTGTAAAAAGCATTCAATTTTATATATTCACAAAGATAGAATTTGGAATTGGAAATTGTTTAAATGAGAAGCAGAGCATAAAAGTTTGGAAAATTTGTAGCTTGCTGATGTGCCAGAAAAGAAAAACCCATTTTCTGAAGAGAAATTCAAGCCAGCTGCAGAAATTTGCATAAGTAATGAACCAAATGTTAATCACCATGATAATGGGGAAAATGTCTCCAGGGCATGTCAGAGACCACAACAGTCCCTCCCATCACAAACCTGGAGGCCTAGGAGGGAAAAATGGTTTCCTGGGCCAGGTCCAGGGCTCCCCTGCTGTGTGCAACTTGAGTCCCAGCTGCTCCAGCCATGGCTAAAATGTGCCAAGGTACAGCTCAGGATATTGTTTCAAAAGGTGTAAGCCCCCATTCTTGGCAGCTTCCACATAGTGTTGGGCCTGTGATTGTATAGAAGACAAGAATTGAGTTTGGTGAACTTCTGCCTAGATTTCAGAGGATGTATGGAAACACCTGGATGTCCAGGCAGAAGTCTGCTGCAGGGGCAGAGCCCTCATGGAGAAGCTCTACTAGGGCAGTGCAGAAGGGAAATGTGGGGTTGGAGCCCCCACACGGAGTCCCTACTGGGGTACTGACTAGTAGAACTGTGAGAAGAGGGCCACTGTCCTCCAGAACCCAGAATGGTAGATCCACTGACAGCTTGCATTATGTGGCTGGAAAAGCTGCAGACACTCAACAGCAGCCATGAAAGCAGCCAGGAGGGGCACTGTACCCTACAAAGCCACAGGGGCAGTGCTGTCCAAGCCATGGGAGCCCACCTCTTGCATCAGCATGCCCTGGATGTGAGACATGTAGTCTAAGGAGATAGTTTTGGAACTTTAAGGTTTAATGACTGCCCTATTGGATTACTTGCATGAGGCCTGTAGCCTCTTTGTTTTGGCCAATTTCTCCCATTTGGAATGGGTATATTTACCCAATGCCTATACCCCCATTTTATCTAGGAAGTAACTAACTTCTTTTATTTTACAGTCTCATAGGTGGAAAGGACTTGCCTTGTCTCGGATGAGACTTTGGACTTGGACTTTTGAGTTAATGCTGGAATAAGTTAAGAATTTGGGGGACTGTTGAAAGGGCGTGATCATGTTTTGAATTGTGAGGGCATGAGATTTGTGAGGGGCCAGGGGCAGAATAATATGGTTTGGCTATGTTTGCACCTAAATCTCATCTTGAATTTTAGTTCCCATAATCCCCATGTGTTATGGGAGGGACCCAGTGGGAGGTACTTGAATCATGGGAGTGGTTACCCTCATGCTGTTCTCATGATAGTGAGTGAGTTCTCACAAGAGCTGATGATTTTATAAGGAGGTTTTCCCCCTTTTGCTCAGCACTTCTCCCTGGTGCCACCATGTGAAGAAGGACATGTTTGCTTCCCCTTCTGCCATGATTGTAAGTTTCCTGAGGCCTTTCCAGCCCTGGTGAACTGGAGTCCATGAAAGATCTTTCCTTTATAAATTACCCAGTCTCAGGTATTTCTTCATAGCAGTGTGAGAATAAACTAATATATAAGCCTTATTATTCTCATGTGATATAACAAAATATATTAATGTAGATGTGTTTACAGACATCTTCTTTATTCCAGCTCAACAGCCCAAATTCTTTTCACCTTCTGTAAAGAAGAGTGACTGGAAGAGAGACTAAGTTAATTGAGATAATTAATAAGTGAGTGAGAGAATAAATGAATTATAGAGGAGGAACCAAAAGCACAGAGCTGGAAGTGGAACAGGAGGTTCTCAGCAATTTTAAAAGTGAAGGCACCGTAGCAGTGGAAGTATATAAAGGGAGTAAAGTCAGGCTGGGAAAACAGAAGGCAAAAATAGTGTTCATCTAGACTGTGTGTCAGATTACTTCTAATATCCTTCAAGGTACTTGAGTGAGGAATAATTTCCTCTTATGTTTCTATTGGTATTGGGTTGTCCTTTTGGATGAGGCTCAGCTCAGAGACTGAACCATGTGATGTCTGTGTATTTTAGGGTTGCACTCACTTTGCATTAATTTTAACTGAGAGTTAAAGGGGTTAAGTGCCTTGCCTAAGATCACATACTCAGAAAATGCAGAGAGCTTACTCCAGCCCAGGTTTGTTCATTTCAGATACATTAGTCTCAATTCAGCTTTGGTTGAAGTCACCTGTGATGAATTTGTTGCATGATATAGTTTTCTGGGGGAAAGATTTCTTTTAATACATGGTAAGTATATAGTACCCCTTTTATAGTTGGATAGATTAGTTCTTTAAATTTCTTTTGTAAAGAGGATAGATTAGTAATGGTCAAGTGTCATTGAGTGATTCAGACGAATAGTTCCATGATTAAATCTTGTTTCCTTTACTTTTTGTATAATGCTAATGTATCCCTTAAAATAAAAACTCCATTTAGTTTTCTTCAGTTCATTTAATCATGGCATTGTTACTGTAAGAAAGTTCTTCTCCTAATGGTTTCTAATTGCTCTTAAAATCTTGTTTGAATCCCAGAACAAATCTCTGTGTTATATGTCACCAGTGACCCACCCTTACTTTCTCTCATTTACTGCCTTTCATAAGCAGAAAGCATTTATTTTTTGGGTATTTTTGCTTATTTTTTAAAAATAAATAACATTGATTTTTAATCCTGGGATATGGAAGATAGTTTAAAGAAAACAGCAGTGTCGGTGGATAGCAATTACCACCAACAAAATATCTTCTGGGTATTTGATCTATGAACTTTGTTTGCACTCCTGCCCACATCAGTTTTTGTAACCCTTCCAACTTCCTCCTAAGGGCAAACTCACTGACATTTCCACAACTGTTCACCTTTCTGATCCTGATAGGATTACTATATATTTTGTTTAGGTTTCTAGATATGATAAGACTATCTACCTATCCAACTTGGATCTGTGGCACTTTATTTTCCTATTAATTTTAAATTCAGGATTTAAAAAAGATACTTACATAGTGATAAAATGAGTTGACTCACACCCTGCATTATTCTAAACCAAAATTAAGTTATATTAATACATTCTCTTTAATCAAGGGTAAATTCACATGCCCCATTGTGGTTAGTGAAGTGGTGAAGGGAAAGTTGAAGCCAAACAGCCTATGTCTTAATTCTAACTCAGCCACTAACTAGCTGTGCAATCTTGGACAAGGCCCTGAAACTCTCTGGGTCTCAGTTTTCTCATTTCTACTAAAAGGACAATAATAGTACCTATTACCTAGAGTTAGGAAGATGAAGTTAACAAAGTGATAGTGTATTAAAGCGTACCTGACACATAGGAAACATTCAGTATATATTGTCTGCTATTATTAAAGCTCCTACACTTATTAGGTAGGTGAACTTAATCAGATTATTTGACTTTAATAAACAGCAATGATCATATTTATAAAGTAGGGATTGTAAAATATAATGCAGTGAGTTTACAAGTGTCATAATGTGAAATATATAAATATAAATTACATATATAAAATATATAAATATAAATTACATATGTAAAATATATAAATATACATTATATAAATTATGTATGTAAAATATATAAATATAAATTACATATGTAAAAAGTACATAGCCATGTTTTGACTCATAAAGAGCATTCATTAAATGTGGTTACAATTTTTAGAAGACATTATCAGTAATATTATCAGTAATAGAATAAGACCTACAAAAAAGGGTAGGGGAGAGAGTTTCATGTTGTATAAGGGGAGTGTTGATTTAAAAGCCTTAGATTAAAATCTGCAAATGAAACTAAATTAAAGGTGTTTTGAAGTGATTTTAACCGCCAAACAAATTGCATTTAATACATAATAATTACTTTATTCTCCCATTAAAATAATTATTTTTAAGTGAATAACAGCTTCTTTGACCACCCTACCTGTAGTTGCAGTAACAGTCTACCAGTTGTCTTTCCAAATTTGTATGATGTCATCAGCAGCTTAATAGAGCATTAGATGAGAATGTCTGAGCATTACTATGCTGACTTTGTAAAATTGTAATCCAAAAGCAAAGAATCTTGACAGCTTAGACAGTTGGTTTGATCTTATTATTAATGAACAGAAGATATATCTTAGGCTATTTTAAAAGTGAATTTATAATAAGATTTCTACTTCCTATGTTAGCTAGAGTAAACACTAGCTAATAAACCACCCTCCTAAACCTCAGCAAACTAGCCCAAGAAAAGAGTTTAATTTTGGTATTAGTATTGCTCACTCACATAAAGCCCAAGCAATTAGGAGCAGAGGAAGGGATGTGAGGGTTTGCTCTATAGAGTCATAGAGGATCCAAGGTGACAGAGCCTCTGTCATCTTCCACACAGGCCTTCCAAGATGGTTCTAGCCAAATCCAGCTAGCCAACATCTCTGGAAATGACAAGCATCACTTTTGGTCATATTTCATTGGTCAGAAGTTAGTCAGAGGGTACCTAGTTGCAAGGGAAGCTGGGAAATGTAGTCTGGCTGGCATTGCTTTGTTGCACTAACTCAGTCCTGTGGAAAAGGAGCACAAATATTTGGTGGACAGTAAATGATCTGTGTCATATCCTTATTACTCAGATCCATAGTAATAATGTCTGTTTTTATCTCCTTTTCTAATTCCTAGTAAAGAAGCAATCAAATAAAAAGAAATAAAAACACTGAACAGTATGTGTTCATTTGTCTCATCCATTATTGTATATAGTGCCTGATACAGAGTTCAGTATATATTCAGTATATATAGTACCTGATACAGAGTTCATGATATTCAATAAATATCATGAGTGATCAAACACATATTCTCTGCCTTCTTCTCTTCCTCCCTTCCTTTTTTCTCTTTTTCTTGCTTCTTTTATATCTCTTTCTTTTTTTCTGATCCCAAACACTTTAGAGTCTTTAATTTGAGCTAGATTCTATGATAAGTGATTGAAGAATCAAAGACATATTTAACCTTGGGGAAAGTCATAATGGGAATAAAGGAAAAAACATTAATATAAAGTATTAGTAAACATTTCTAAATTACTGATTTCATTAAAATATTTAACAGTCTTATGAAAGACTAAAGAATCATTTTGAGTTCATCTACTAGGCATGGACAAGCCACTTCAGGAAGTTTAATATCCTTCTTTGTGCCTTTGGGTTTAATCTGTGCTAGTGATACCCCAGCCTTGACAGAATTGCTGCCCCAATGGCCCAGGCTGTGGGATTCTGCACAGGAAAGACCACTTCATGGTGAAAATTCTCTAAAGTTTTGCTGTGAATCATACCATAACCTAAGATCTGTGTTATGGTAAACTGGATACTGTAGTGGTGGAGGATGTCTAACTTCGTTTTGTGTTTCACAGAGTTTCAAGAGTTTTCCTGTAAGCCTCTTTAGTCTTTGTATATTTAATGTGCTCCAATCCTACTTACATCTCAACTGTGTTCTTTCTGATGGCGATGGTGATGATAGTGCCAATCATTTATTTAGCACTAACAACTGTGTGCTCGACACTGTACCAATATTATTAGAACTATTATTTCTTTTACTCATCACATCAGCCCTATTAGATATTTAGAGATTTGGAAAATTATGTTCAGATAGATTTGGTAACTTGTCTAAGGTCAGACATGTTAGGAAAAGGCAGAGCTAGAATTCAAATACAGTTTTGACTGAGCTCAAAGCTTGTGTAATCACCACTTAGGCTGATGATTTGTTTAGGCTATTGAGAGAGAAAGATTATTTTATCTTTCTTTTTTTTTCTGGAAAGAGGGATGTATACAGATCTTTTAGTAGTAAAATTTTGCCACTACATTCAGTGACAAAAACAGGAGTTACTTTTGCACCAACCTGATAACTCTTCAAAATGTTTGGTGAGGCTGGACTCAAACATAAGTGCATGGATGCCTGATTTTTTTCCCCCAGTATTCAAGAACCTCAGGGTTTTCCTGAATGTGCTATAGACATTCCAGGGACCTCCTAAGTTTTGAACATTGCATTATTATGAAGATTAGGTCCATAAGTTTTATCAGATTTTCTAAAATACGAGTAAACATTTTTTAAACCCAAGGTTTGCTGCCAACTTCTCTCCTCTACAGATCCTGGAAAGAAGAAAGAAATGGCTTCTAACAAAAAGAAGGGGAGGATTTCCAGCTCATTTCTAATTCAGGCTCATTGGAGAAGGAAGTGGCATGGGTGACGATAAGCAGCAGTTTTTATGTCTGAAGGAAACTGAAAACAGCATCTCACTGGGGTGGCCAGGAGCTCTTCTGCTGAAGTCTCTGTGTATCCAGAATGCCTGGGATTGGATTCTTGTCCTGTTGCCTCTGACTTCCTAGAAGTGGCCTCTGGGCCGTCTTTATTTATTAAATCATCTGGGTATGATCTGGCTCTGATATTTTGGCATTCGGGAGTGGCAGACCAAGCTCAAATTGCAATAGTCCTTTAAAAAGATGTTTCTAAAAGCCAGATATGCACTGACATTTCAGAAAGAACATTTGTGCCTAATTTCCAGCTGCCAAGTTATAGTTCATCATTCAGCTTCATATTGGAGGCCTTCAGGCTTTGATTTATTTAGGAAACATTGGTGAACAATGGGATCATGATCTGCAACATGACAGATGTAGGAAGTCCATGTCCCCTAAAGGAGGTTTTCTGGAGACTCCTAACAATTAAGAGAATCTGTTCTGTTTCTAAGTTGACAGCAAATTATTGAATTCTGAGTATCCAGAATGAGTTTGGGGAGTAAGAGTTGTGAAGGGCAGACATTAACTGCTTATTTAAGACATAATACCTGTCCTTTGGAAACTTATGGTTTGTTAGGGGGTAGTGTCCTAGAAACAATGTAAGACAATTTGTTACCAAATGATAAATAGAACTTTAAAACAAAAATTTTCCTACTGTCAGGGAAACTAAGTTTTCCTTTTCTTTGAAGGCATGGAGAAGTGCCGAGCAGTGTGTTACTTTTCCTCTATTCCCTGGTTCGTTCCTCACCCACGTCAGTTTTTCTTCATATTTGTCTTTATTGGAACCCACAAAGTTTATTCAAAGTTATTATCAGTTTCTTCCCTTTTGTGAAGAAAATTCAATTTTTATGAATTAGATTTTTAAGATGGCTTGTAATGTACCCATACAGCCAGGTATAAGAAATTACCTGGTAGCTTCACTGATGCAGATGACAGATACCTGTGGGGACTTACAGTCTAGTTGGGAGAGTAATCACACACATACACACACACACACACACACACACCCCAGATTTGGCATGAGAAGAACAACGCTGAAGTCGATATCTGCCTATTTTGTTTATAATGGTGTGACCTTGGGCAAGTCACTTAATTTTTCAATGTATTTTCTCATCTATAAGATGGGAGATATCTTATATCCTAAGGCTATTGATTATGTCAGATGGAATCTCATCTGAGAAAATACCTTAGAAATTGTACAGTATGATAAAAATATTGACTTTTATTTTCTAAATCATACATAGCAAGATGCAGGACTAGTTTAATTGTTGTCACTTTTAGAATCCGATTTTCACATCATCATTCCATTTCTTATGATATTTAACATGACAAGCAAAAGACCTTGTTCAAAGGGGAAGAACAAATAAGATTAATTCTCTGTAAATCCTTTAAAATTTTATTATCCATCTCTTCACTGGGGAAATGTCTAGATACATTTTCCTAAGTGGTTCCATCTTTCTGTAAATGGCTATTGACCTGCTGAGTGCAGTTTTGCTTTCAGAGAAGCATTGCACTTGGTGTGTGATTTGAGTTTGGGATCATGACCTTATTTCCTTTGCACTTGATTGCTTTACTTCACCAACTGCATCCCTGATTTTGATATTATCTGTGGCTAGCTCCTTTCATGATTTTGGGAATGGCTACCTCTCAGTTTTCTGAATATTTTTTAGTACTTGCTGTTACAATGTAGACATTGCAATAATGTTCTAAAATTATATGTACATTTACTTACTCAACACAAATTTAAAGAGTACCTGATAAGAGCTGGTACTCTGAGTACTGAGCACTGAGTACCTGGTAGAATCATTAATACAGAAGACAAAGCTCTGGCCTCAAGGATTCTGCAGTACAGCAGCAGGGAGGTAAAACACACATACCACATTTGTTTACTGCAAGTGTGGGAGGTAGATAGGTGTCCCCTAAAAACATGTGTTCCCAGAACCTGTGACGTGACCTTACTTGGAAAAAGGGTCTTTGCAGATGTTTAAGTTAATAATCTTGTGATGAGATCATCCTGGATTGTACAGGTGGGCCCTAAATCCAGTGAAAACTATCTTTGTAAGAGACAGATGAGGAGAAGACGTAGAGACTTGTGAAACAGAAGGCCATGTGAAGACAGAGGCAGAGATTGGAGGGATATAACCAGAAAGAATGCCCATAGGCAGCAGAAATTGGAAGAGGTAAGAATTGGATTGTTGCCTAAAGCCTTCAGAAGGAGTGTGACCCTGTCAGCATTTGGATCTCCGACTCTGGCCTTTAAAACTGAGAGAGAAAAAAATTTCTGTTGTTTTAAGCCAGTGAGTTTGTGGTAATTTTTTAATGGCAGCCATGAGAAACGAATACAACAAGGAACAGGATAATCTACAAAATACATGAATTATACAAGAGCATCAGAAGTTTGTGGAAATTTAGTATAAAAAACACCTCTTATTGAAAGTGTGATTGTTACTATACAGTCAGTCCAGAAGCACTGAATTATGAAAATATCATTGCCTGGTATGTGTCAGTTATGTTTATAATAATATAAATAATCTAAGCACACATTGTGTCCTGTAATTTTAATTTTACTCTAACATCCCATGCAAAGGTTTAACTGTAGGTGGCCATTTCATGAAACAAATGCCAATTTCTCATGGACCAATGTTCTCCCAGCAGAGGAAATATATCTTCCTGCCCACACTGGGCTACAACATCACTAAAATTACAAGCAGAAAGGAGGTCTGCATTTCTATAGCCTCTTCTTTTCTTATCTAGTAGTAAATGGTTATAAACTTGACATTTTCCAGTTACAAACATAAGTAATAATATTGTAATAACAAAAGGGAAGGTCCAATCCTATAGATCCCACTGATGGTGATAGAGTAAATCAAGGAATTTGGAAGAAGTGGTATCTAGTTTCACAAGTTGAAAAACCAGAATTATCTTCAGGCATTCATAATTTCAGTGTCATGGGTTAAGGTGTTTGGGGGCAAAATGAGTTTCTGGCTGTGGGATGGATTTGAGTGGTGTTAGCAATCATTCAATAACAGAAGCCACTGAAGCAGCCTTCGTCTCCCTAATCAAAATGCTGCCATCATACCATTTTGCTCCCAAAATATGCTAAAAGTAAGGCACCAACGGTAATAAGTAGTATAGGTAATTTTTAAGTACCATAAAAGTTTACAATATTAACAGTTACATTTGTTAATTTTGTCTGGCTTAGTTGGTGGTGACTTCAGATGGTAACTGGGTGGAATAAGACTTCTAAGCCCACATAAGACAGGATGGTGTGATCTTTCTGGGAGGGTGCCACGTCTGTCCAATATTGATACAATAGTGCACCAGTGGCAGCTTCTTGGTTGGGCCAAGTAAGCCTTCTCAATGTATTTACTCCTTCAGTATTTATAACAATCAGGAAGCTGTAATTATTGTCCATATTTTACTAATGAAGTAACTAAAACTTAGAGAAGATAAGCAATTTGTCTGAGGTCATGCTCTAGTAGTGAGCAGAGCCAGAATCTGAACTCTGGCATGATGACTATAGCGTCTGTGTTTTTATGCATTACTGATAGGTATGGGTGGTATACTGGAGACTTAGTGAGTATTTAGGTGTGAGTAACGTCTACAGTGACGTCAGGGAGCTCACTGTACATCCATGACATGAGAAATAAAATTCCCACGCTTCCCTGTCTTGAAGCTGAGGCAATATATTACATGGGTTAACTGACAATTCAGACAGAGTGAGAGATTCATTATATTCACCACAAATGAACACAGATGGACACTCTTCAAATAAAGCTTCCTATTGAATTTTAATAGTGCTCTTCTGCAGAACACATTTGAAAAATGGATCATAGCATATTCATATTTTCCTTTAGCTTGCCAAATGTGAGATGATTAAGAAACCTGCTTAAACTTTAAATATTCTTACCATACACATGCATTTTTCAAATGTATGCGTCTGCAATAAATATTTGTTAAATGAATATGAATGTATATACACAAACATACATGAAGCAATAGGCGCACACACATTTAATTTGATAAATATTTGTTGAGTATCTACTGAATATAAACTTGGGCTGAAGAGTTATGGAAATACAAAGACAGAATTCTTTTCTGTTCCCAAGAAGCTTTATAAGGGGAAGTGAGACATGCTCAGTCTTGTTCTGGTGGCAGCTCTCAAAGTGTGGTCTCTGGCTCGGCAGTGTTGGCATCACTTGGGGACTTGTTAGAAATGGAAATGCTTGTGCCCCACCATACACCTGCTAAATGAGAAACTGTGGCTGGGGGTCTAGCAATTTATGGTTGTAAAAGTCCTCCAGGGAACTCTGATGCACGTTAAAATTTCAGAACCACTGGGCACAGGAACGCTTTAATGTGCTAAAGGATGCTAAATATTACTTTCACGTGGAGACATCTGAGAAGGCTTGAAGAAAGAGATTGTATTTGAGCAGAGTCTTGGAGAACAGGTAGATTTTGGCTGATAGAAACAGAGAAGGGAAATAAAGTCAAAGAGAAGAGAGGAAGTCAACTTAGCTCGTTTGAGTTGGCAGATAGGCTGCCCATGGATGAAAACCCAGATTAAAATCAGGCAGTGGAAATCCCTGAGCAACACGCTTGTGAGTTTAGACATTGTTCTGAAAGACATTGGCAGTCATTGAAGGTTTCTGAGTGGGGAAGAAGTGTGATCAAAACTACCTTCCTTTTTTTTTTTTCTTACCCAGTGAATGTAATTCAGCACTTGTACTGAGTTCATATTAACAGAACTTGATGGTTGTAAATCAGTCTTTTCTTCCTCATTAAAATCACTTCACCATTAAGAATTATCTATAGGTTATGGCTGGAATCATGTTATCTCTGCTCTTTCTTGACTATTCTGACACAGCAGGCAACTTAATTTCAACAACTCGGTAATGCCCCCATCTTCTGTGTGTGTGTGTGTGTGTGTGTGTGTGTGTGTGTGTGGTGTTTGCTAAGAAGGAGTCACACGGCTGCTTTTGAATTCAGCTGGGCTTTAGGAAGCTGCATAAAAACAAAGAAAAAATGTTGCTGCTTGCTAGTGCATTCTTTGTTATGTAGCAATCAGAAGGATGACTGTGCTCTGAAGTGGTGCAGGTGGCCTCTTCTGATACTAATTCCAGCGTCTCAACTAGTTCAGCATCAAAAGGGAGTTCTCTGGAAGGGAAATAATTCTGTCCCTACCCCTGATTGCTCCTATTTGCCCAGCATTGTGGGCACCTGCTTGGCCACCCACCTTCCTTTTCTTTGCCATCCACTTGCGTCATCTTTCTCTTCCCCTGGGTCAGCCTGTATATTTCAATCTATCCACACCCTGCGCAAGCTCATTCATTCATGGGCTTTCTCTCTGCAATTTTCATTGTGCCTCCCTTTGTTGGCATAATTGATTCCCTGCTTTGCAAGAGCAGGTGGATGAGTTGGTTTATTCCTTTAAAAAATTCCTCCTCTTTTCTCTTTCATTGCTCTGATCTTTAGTCAATCTTTGGTTCAGCCAGCTTGTTCTCCTTCTATTGACTAATCTCTCTCTGTATCTTTCATAATGGTGGTGGGAGAGTCCATGCCGAATCTCCTGTTGGTTGAAGAAGGTGAAAGTCAATTGGTAAAGTCACTGTGATTTATAATGTTCAAACTGGGGAGGGATTGAGTCGTGAAGACCAGAAGTACTGATAATCATTTAGCTTATTTGCTGGAAGGCTCCACTAGACCCTAATGAAACAATCTCATTTATCTTCCCCACATCCTAATGGAATTGCAGAATTAATAGTAAAACCATTAAGCCTTCTTGAGCATGTCTCATCTAACACTCCAGGATCTTTGTTACACATTTTTATTTTTCTCAATTTTGGATTTTTTGAGGGTGCGAATTTACTTAGCTGAGAAATTTAGAAGTCCTTTATTCAGTCTAGTATAAAGTGTCCAGATAAAAACATACCTTAGAGATATTGTGGGTGCAGTTCCAGACCACCACAATAAAGCAGATACCACAATAAAGCAAGCATATAAATTGTTTGGTTTCCCAGTGCATATAAAAGTTATTTTTACTCTATAGTCTATTAAGTATGCAATAGAATGATGTCTAAAATAAAATGTACATACCCTAATTATAAGTATTGTGTTGCTAAAAATTGCTGATGATAATCTGAGCATACAGTGGGTCATAATCTTCTTACTTGTGAAGGGTCTTGCCTTGATATTGACGGCTGCTCACTGATCAGGGTAGTGGTTGCTGAAGGAGGTTAGGGTGGCTGTAGCAATTTCCTAAAATAAGACAACAATGAAGTTTGCTTTATCAATTAACTCTTGCTTTTATGAAAGATATCTTTGTAGCATACGATGCTGTTTGATAGCATTTTACCCACAGTAGAACTTCTTTCAAAATTAGAATGAATTCACTCAAAACTTGCAGGTGCTTTATCAACTGAATTTATGGAATATTCTAAATCCTTTGTAGTCATTTCAACAATGTTCACAGCATCTTTACCAGGAGAAAATTCCATTTTAAGAAACTACTTTCTTTGCTCATCTATAGAAGCAACTCTTAAAATCCATTCCAGTTTTATCATGAGATGGCAGCAATTCAGTCACAGCTTCAGTTTCTACCTCTAGTTCTAGTTCTCTTGCTACTTCCACCACATCTGCATCTACTTTCTCCACTGATGTTTTGAACCCTTCAGCCATCCATGAAGATTGGAATCTTTTCCAAACTCCTGTTAATGTTGATATTTCAAACTTCTCCCATGAATCACGAATGTTCTTTATGGCATTTACAATGTTAAATCATTTTCAAAAAATTTTCCATTTGCTTTATCCATATCTATCAGAGGAATCACCATGTCAGTTCTAGCCTTACAAAGTGTATTTTTTAAATAATAAGACTTGAAAGTTGAAATTATTCCTTGATTCATGGGCTAGAGAATGGATGTTACGTTAGCAGACATGAAAGCCACATTAATCTTCTTGTACTCCCATCAAAGTTCTGGAGTGACTAGGTGCATTGTCAATGAATAGTAACATTTTGAAAAAAAAAAAAATCTTTTTTTTTTCCTTAGCAGTAGTTCTCAATAGTAGGCTTAAAGTATTCAGTAAACCATTTTGTAAATAGATGTACTGTCATCCAGGCTTTGTTGTTCCATTTACAGAGCACAGGCAGAGTAGATTTTGCTAAATTCTGGGGCCCTAGGATTTTTTGAATGGTATATAAGCATTGGCTTCAACTTAAAGTCACCAGCTGCCTTAGCCCCCAACAATATAGTCAGCCCGCCCTTTGAAGTCAGGTATTGATGTCTCCTCTGTAGCTATAAAGGTCCTAGGTGGCATCTTTTTCCTATATAAAGCTGTTTCATCTACAGTAAAAATCTCTTGCTTGGTGTAGTCACCTTCATCAATTATCTTAGCTGGATGTAACGGATAACTTGCTGCAGCGTCTACATAAGCACTTGCCGCTTTACCTTGTGCTTTTATGTTATAGAGATGATTTCTCTCCTTAAACCTCATGAACCAATATCTTCTAGCTTTAAACTTTTTTCTGCATCTTCCTCACCTCTCTTAGCCTTCATAGAATTGGAAATAGTTTGGGCCTTGCTCTGGGTTAGGCTTTGGCTTAAGGGAATGTTGTGGCTGGTTTGATCTTCAATCCAGACCACTACAACTTTCTCCATATAAGCAATAAGCTTGTTTAACTTTCTTATCATCTGTGTGTTCACTGGAGTAGCACTTTTAATTTCCTTCAAGAACTTTTCCTTTGCATTCACAACTAGGTTAACTGTTTGGCACAAGAAGCCTAGATCTCAGCCTATCTCAGTTTTCAACATGCCTCACTGAGCTTAATCATTTCTAGCTTTTGATTTGAAGTTAGAGATATGAGACTCTTCCTTTCATTTGAATACTTAGGCCTTTGTGGGAGTATTAATTGGCCTAATTTCTATATTATTGTGTCTCAGGGAATAGGGAGGCCCAAGGAGAGGAAGAAAAATGTGAGAATGGCCAGTAAGTTGAGCGGTCAGAAGACACACAACATTTATTAAGTTGGCCATCTTATATGGACATGATTTGTGTTGCCTTCAAAGAATTACAATAATGACATCAAAGATCACTCATCAAAGATCACCATCTCAGATATAATAATAATGAAAAAGTTTTACGTGTTGAGAGAATTACCAAAATGTGATGTAGTGACATGAATCAGGCACATGCAGTTAGAAAAATGGTGTGGATTGACTTGCTCAACCAACGGTTGCCCCAAACCATCAATTTGTTTTTAAAAATGCAATTGTTGTAAAATGCAAAAAAGTGAAGCACAAAAAAACTAGGTATGCTTGTGATAGGTTTCTCTCCTATTCTTTGAAGAGGCTTTTAAATAGAGTTGATTGCATGGCATTGCCTAGTAAAATCATTTTAAACTAATATGAAATTATATAAGCTCTGAACAGGGCATTTGATGTCCACTAGGGAAAGTAAAACATATTTTTTATTTCAGCATAAGAAGCTTATCTCTTCCATCTTGTAAAATAATATAATAATAATAGAATTAGTTAAACATGGTGATTACTATTACGTATTTTATGATTCCAATAATTCAAGCACAGACACTATCTTGAATGCGTCCTAGTATATTCAGCTCCACAATGATGCCTAGGGTTTCATGTTGAAGGCTGTGAAGTTAACAAAGGAAAATGGAGATCTGATTACTAGCTTCCAGAGATTGGTTGAGAATTGAGGGAGAAGAGAGATCAACATTATATATTTCACATGGCAGAGGGTAATAGGAGCTTTTATAGAGAGGCAAAATGCATTGGTAGAAAGAGAAGAGAGAGCCTAATTCCACTTGCTAAAAATCTATGGAAGCCACCTAAAGGAAGAATGAAAAATTGAATGTTTATCAATAAGTTGGAAAGAGGAGAGGAACATTATGGGCAGAGCAAACAGCATAGAAATAGAATAATACATGGAGTATTTGTTAGCATTCAGAGGGAATGGAGATGACGGGAAATGGTAGAACATAGTTAGAAAAGTAAATTGGGCAGAATTGGTGACAGGGGATTCAATTTGGTAAGCAGTGGGTAACCATTCATGGCTTTGAGCAGAGTTTGGCAAACTATGATTTGTGGACCAAATCCATCCCATTGTCTGATCTTGTAAAGAAAGTTTTATTTAAATACAGTCATACTCATTCACTTATGTATTGTCTGTGGCTGCTTTCATGCTACAATGGCAGCATTGAATAGTGGTGACAGAGACTGCCTACAAGCTGAAAATATTTGATATATGACTTTTTACAGAAATTTTACCGATGTCAGGATTCACTTTAATAAAGTGTTTCATAAAGTGTTTGTTTGTGCCGTGATGGGCCATCCAAGATTGTAATGGGCGATCATTGGAAACAAAGATGCTTATAGAGCAGCATCTTGCATGTCACAAATATTTGAATGAATGAAAAAATGCATATTTCTGTTAAGACATCACAGTAACAGTAGGAGATATTGCTTTTTTTTTCTTTCTTTTTTTTTGACAAGACCAATGTGAAAATAATCAGAGAGTGGTTCTCTGGACCACATCCTGTTCTTCAGGGGAGAGACATTGAAAAACATCAGGAAAAGCTTATCCCTAGAATTGATTCAGAGGACAAAGCTACAGTTATGAGAAAGGCCACTTTGGAGAAATGTTGGATAAGATGTCCAGTGAGGCACAGAATGGGGTGACACTGGGAGTGACAGGATCTTGATGGACTCTGGCCATGGCACTTCTCAAACGTTTTTGGCAGTCCTATTTCTATTTTCACAGACTCCTCCACCTCCACTCTGTCCTGGCCAGCACCCAGTTCTCAAGCATTACACATTTATCCCAAGTAATGCGTAGGGAGCTTCCTTTCTTGCACCTATAAATTATTCACTAGTTTCAGATTGGGGTGAAAAGAGGAAAACATAATTAATCCAGAATTATTTCACATGTATAAATTCCTTGCTTGGTTTTGTTTCATCATCAGGGCTTCCTTGGCCTTCCATGGATGGCATATACCTTATTAATTTATGCTTAGCAATCTTTTGAAAATAATTTTTACATGGGTAACTCACTGAAACATCATGGCATTTATCTCACATCATGTAGTTTTGTCAGTTTTGATGTTAGAGAACGTATTCTGCCTTACTTTTATGTAGCAATGTGACCAGGAAATCTCATGTAAAATCTATGCCTCCCTAATATGCAAAAATACTGAAAATGAGCACCTCTTCTCCCTTCCTTCTTTTTTAATAAATCTAGTAATAATAGCTGGAATAATCACAGGATTTCTAAATGGAGTCAGCATGGCAAAGGAAAATGTTGGTGATATATTTATTAAGTCCATAGAAGTTAAACTTCCGGAGAGCTCCCAAGCTAATTGGTACCCCTTGTTCAGGACTGGGGACTATTAACTGAGAGAATTCATTGGGTGTTTTAATATCTAGCCTTTTAAAATCTATTTTAAACAAGGACTTTGAAGGATGACTGAAATGTGGTTAAATTTCCACAGAGAACTTACAACTCCAGCAATGGGAACTCCCCAGGTACAGTGATGATACGAATTGTGTTGGATTTCTTGAATTTCATCTTCAAAGCACAAGAATGAGAAAAGAAAGGAGACAGGAACCATTTACATTAAGCAGAGATGCATAAGTTTCTTAAGTGGTGCTTTCCAGAGCACAGCTGGGTTTCGTGTGTGTGTGTGTGTGTGTGTGTGTGTGTGTGTGTGTGTGTGTGTGTCTGATATATCAAGCTGTCGGTTATATTCCATAGATTCATAGTATTTTCCTCCTCTCTATATTCCATCTCTACTTTTTGTTTATAACAAGTTATTTACTTTGCCCATCTATCTTTTAAGCAAATTATCTTGATTGGAAATAACTGGAATGCTTGATAATTATATAAGAAACTTAAATACTTGGCCTATTCATTTATCCTAGAGTTTTAGGGAACATCTTGGTCTAGCATAGGCATTCTCAACCATCATATTGAAAAAAATTGTGGAGCATTATAGCACAAATGATTTTACAAAATAAAATGATTGTTAAAAATTAGAATAGGTTCATAGTAGCCTCACGCTCTGGGTTCCATCATGCTTCTTGGGAGAGAGAGAAAGAGCAGACTGGCTGGTCAGAACCCTGGCTTTGACTGAAGAACACATTCTGCCTGTAAGCATAATTTCTCAGCTCTGAGCCAGAGAAAAGCAGTGGGACTCTTTTCTCTAGGAAATACAGTCTGCATAGATAGAATGAAGCAGAATTGGAGACACATAGGAAAACAATTATCCCTTTGTATTAGTTTATCTAATCCTCTGCTTTGGGAAAACAGGAAGAGAGAAAAAGAAGAGGGAGGAGAGGGAGGGAGCTAAAAACAAAGGAAAACACTTCACAAGGGTTTGCCCTCCCCCAAAAATTCAAGACATGAAATAGAATCTATCACATATGATTGGGAGCCTTGTGTTCTGGTTTTCTCCAATCCTAAGCCCAAGAATTTGTTCCTCCTGATGCTGTAGATAGTTTCACCTGAGAAGATTTTACTCACCTCTGCGTCCCATTATGAGATGGGAAACCTGGCTTCTGCCACGTGGGCACAGAGTAGATACCCACTAGATTTTGTTGTTTTGTGTGTATGGTTGCCAGGGATGATCAGTGCCCCAATATTCTTGCCCCATCAATATTCTTCTTAGTGAGATTTGCAACCTTTTAAGCATTGGGAACTTAAGGGTTATTATGAATACCTGTCATTTTAAGCTAATATACATTCTTTACAGAATAAATGCAAAATGTTCACATTCATGAGAAAAAGGAAGAAACTTTTAGCTGACACATACCATTTTGCATGTTATATAAATGTATTCTGCTCAGTACAAACATTTTTGTGAACTTAAAAAAAATCTCTTAAATGTTTCTATAAAAGTACTACTTCTTGAAGTTTATATTTGAATGAAAATACCTCAAATTCTTTTCTACCCTGACTTAGAACTATATAACTTTAACTCTCTTTTTCATTTTTAAAGATGTGATATTCCTCTGATGAGATAACGTGGAGCTTTCCTCTAAAATTTTCTTGTGTTCAGACCTTTTTTTTCTCTTCCTTCTGGTCTTCAAAAAGCTATAGGAATCTGACCTAGGAACACTGTTTCCTCAATAATTGGCATTTTCTATTTTCACTTTGGTTTTCCCCAACTTAATTGATGAGATATATAATCTTTCTCCATCCAAAGAAACTACAATGACTGACACTAACATTTTTGAACCCATCTATGCCCATTTCCATTTTTAGTTCTACAAATGTTCTGACACCATTTTTTAAAAAATCACAACACCCCAAACAGTGGGTTCTATTTTTTTTTCTATTGTTATAGATGAGTAAACTGACACCTAAAGAGGGCCCTTAGCTTGTGGCTGGCATCTCAGGACCAAAATGCCTGCGTTTGAAGCCCCTGGGAATTTGGCCTTTGGAGCCTTTAGCAGCTTCTAAGCCTAGTGAGTTTGTGGCTTCAGGTCCTGTTTAGGTCCTGTTTCTCATTTGTGGAGAGGTTGGTCTTGTTTTGAAGGCAGCAACCTCCTTCATTTTTTTTCTTTTTTTTTTTTCACTATCTATCATTACTACGTTTGGTGCCAAGTTGGGGCCTCAAATTTTGAACTTAAAACATGACATGCCTGGAAATCCTTTTCTCTCTCTTCTTCTGAAGGGTGTCCATAAAGTCTGGGATGCAGACAAATATATGTAATGTCATTAAAATTTTTACAAATCTGTAAAAAATAAAATAGTATTATCAATGTTTTCATACCTTACAGATGCCCTTCACTTTAAATAAAGATTTCCTGAGAACTAAAAATAAAAATACCATGTCCTCAAGTTTGGATTAGTCCAGGGAGTAGGGAGAAGGGCTGAGAAAGAGAAGGGTAAAATTATCTATTCTTGACATCACTGTAATAAATTGATTGAACTGTACTGCATATTGAATGCTTGCTCTTACTAGGGTCTCTTCATAAATCATCTCATTATTCCTCAAAATAAGTCAGCCTGCTAGGTTTGATGAGCCCATTTGACAGATACACAAGTCCAAGGACATCAAATGACTCGCCCAACATCACTAGGGCATGTGGGCTGAATGAGGATGTTCAGTCTGGTCACATCAAAAGCCCTAGCTCTTTTCCCTATAAGCTAGAAATAATATTCCATCCCTTTTCTCACCTACCTCCCAGCAAAAACAAATGACATAAAAATATTTTTTTCTATCTGCTTCTGCTCATGATACCTTTAAAATGCCTTATTCATCAATTCATTCCCCATCTCAGGCTCAGGTAACCCTTGATGGGGGATTTGTATCTAATTTTCTCTGTATTTCTTGAACCATTTTTTTTTCCATGTGTCCATCTCTATGGATCCAACCTCATGATTTCCTGGACCATTTAAATTGTCTTTTATTCTTTCTTTTTTCTCTATCACATATCTTGGCTCTAACTCACCTGCTTTCCCTTTGTATTTCTCTTTTAATATTTTACATGTATGTATTACCCCAACTAGACAGTGTTTTCAAGGGAGAACTTAGGAATTTTTCATTTCTTTCCACCATGACATCAGACATCTTTCTGATGTCATAGCTTATGAAATAAAAGTCTATAAGTATGTGACCTGGGTAAAACATAATCATTTTGAGACTTAATGATATGATCTCTATCAAAGTTATTGTCAACTGCAGTTCATTCTGCTGTTATTTTTATATTTGATGATAATTCAGAATTTCATGTCCCCTTCTATAATACCTCACATGCCAAACAAATTAATTGTGTTAATGACAGGTAAGGAAGCTCCTGGTCACTTTCCTTCCTTGCTTCAGACCCAGCTTCAAGGTGGGCCAGATGGGGCACAGGCTGCCTCCTCTGTCTGGGTTCGAGTTACTTGTAACCATGTCTGACTGTCCTGGGGTGCCTCTTAGCTCCAGTTAATTTCTGAATCCTCAGCAAGTTTTAAAAGTCTGAGCAAGAATTTCCTTTCTTACTCTGTTGCTTCATCTTTTTCCTTTCTTCTCTCAAATATTCAGGATGGAGGAGAAACGGCAGGCTGAGCCAGCAATCCATCTTACTTGAAACCTATTTGAAGGTTGTCGGGTATGCAAGGGGGCTGGAAATAGGGACTGAGAGTTTGATTCCAGCATGAAGGCCAGGCATCAGTACCGATCTACCTTGTAGTGTGGTAAATAGACTTTGGCATCAGCTAAATTATTTCTGTGAGACTGAAGTATTTTGATCGAAATAGACAAGTGAGCAAAGGGATTTGCAAAAGAATTCTGTTTTCTGGCACAGGCATCTCAATGAGGCCTTGTGCAGAATCTCACATCCGAGCGCCCCCTGATGGCAACATATAGACACGCCTCACTTTCTGTGGCCAAATTACTCCATGAAAGGAATAGTTTCTATATTTGACTTTAAGACCTTATTTCTAATTTATGTTTTAACCTGGGATGTGTTTGGTCACCACTTATGTATTTGTTTTTCATATTTGTTTGATTTCAAATTATCTGTGATAACAGTATTAGATTATAAAGTGCATTTTATGAAGCTATTTTAAAATAAGGTATTTTCAAATGTCATTTAATGTTTTCTTGGAAAGATTCAAAGTAGTAGAGTGCTTGAGGAGAAATAAAAGCAGAGGAGGAATAAAAGGAGATGAAGGAGGAGGAAGGGGAGGAGGAGAAGTTATAAATAAAGATTAGCCCCTAATTCTAAAACATTTTTTCTTGATCTAAATATATGAACAACGAAGTCCAAATTATTTAATGTTTCCCATTGACTATAGGATGAAATTTAATACTTTAGCCTGATGTACAAGGCTCTTAAAGATCTATCCTTGTCTAACTGAGTCCAGAGCCAACCCTACAGCTGCCCACCTTGAATTTTATGCTCTGGAAATACTAAATGATTACAATTACCTAAATATAACATAGTTATATTCAGGAAATACATATATTAAATATTATATATATATGTATAATATGTAACTATGTTGCTCATGGATCTGTGACTGTGCACACCATAGTTCCCTCTGTCTGGAACATATGTACTGCCTCTTATCCTCCTGCAAATCTCATCCTTTTCAAGGTAATTCTTTCATTTCAGATAAAATGTTATTCTCTCTGTGAAGCTTGGCCGTGATTTCCCTCAACTCCTGCTCTCCACAAGTTTCCACTTTGTACTGAGCTCTTACATTGCCTTGGTCATTCCCTTTCTCTTCTCCCTACCTATGTTCTGAGGAAATAAACAATGAAGTTTCATCTTCTTTTTTTTTTTTTTTTTCTGAGACAGAGTCTTGATCTTTCACCCAGGTTGGATTGCAGTGGTGTGATTATAGCTCACTGCAGCCTTGATGTCCTGGGCTCAAGAGATCCTCCCGCCTCAGTCTCCTGAGTAGTTGGGACTATAGGCTCATGCCACCACAGCTGGTTATTTTCTTTGTAGAGATAGGGTTTCGCCACATTGCCCAGGCTGGTCTCAAACTCTTGGGCTCAAGGGATCTGCCTGCCTCAGTCTCCCAAAGTGCTTGGATTACAGGTGTGAGCCACTGCGTCTGACTGAAGTTTCATCTTTCTAGTCCAGCTTAGCACAATACTTGGTGCAGGTGCGTAAGACATATGTGTTAAATTGCATACTTCCCATTTCCTGAATGGAGGTGAAATAAAGGAAACAAAAGTTAAATACATTTTTCAGGAGATACAGAAATTTGTAACTCGCTGAAAAAGTAGCTTTTTATTAGGACTTTGCCTTTTAAATCATTACACACTTTAGTCTTTCCTCTTAAACTAAATTACTATTTATTATTGACTTTACAGAAGAAGAAACTCGTGTCATACTTATATGACTTTTTGGACCCTGGTGACATGTGACTAATAGGTAAAAAGAACATACAATGCTGGGAGCAATTTGTCCAGTGGCCCAATTTTATATGATGCCTCAAATGAAGTGCTGTTTATGCAATGAAGTGCGTTTCTTGCTTTGTTAGTAGTCATTGAGCCTCTGCACACGTAAATGTGTAGGGAATGACCATTGAGAGACAAAGTGTTTGTGATGTTACCCATTTATAGGGTATATCAATAGTTCACATTTACGGCACACTCCTTTGAGGCCAGGCACTTTACACACACTGTCACACCTTATCCTCACCATCACAGTATGACATTAGGACAATTATGTCTATTTGCAGATGAAACTGTGACTCATAGAGATCAGGCGATATGTCAAGATTATTCAGATAGTAAAAGGCAGGCTTGGGTTCAAAATCAGGCAGTCTGGTTTACAGAGCCTGGCCATTTTTTAGGGCAGTTGTTCTCAACCAGGGGCAATTTTTCTTCTTGGGATATTTGGTAATATCAGAAGACATCATTTTGATTGTCACAACTGGGAGAGAGGGTGTTGCTGGCATCTAGTGGTAGAGTCCAAGGATGCTGCTAAATATCTCAGAGTACACAAGACAGTCACCACAACTGAGAATTGTCCAGCCCAACATGTCAATAATGCCGAGGTTGAAAAGACCTGTTTTATGATAATAAGCCAGGTAGAATTCATGACAATTGAGTTTATACACCAACCAGTCCTTAGCCTTTGCTGTTTTCCGCCTGTTGCATTTCTTTAAGTGTCATTTATTTTCATGGCTTTGACTATTAACTCTATAGAGATGATTTCCAAAAATCAAATACAGATGATTTCTAGAGAGAACCTCAACCTCTCCCTCGAATTCTAGCTTCTTATTTTCAACTCTCAGGAGGCCATTTTTATTTGAATGATTTGCTGACCGTTCCAGTAAATTCAAAGTAACTGTTGCTCCTAATTTCTCCCTCTGTGGCTTTGTCCTTTTTATCCTAGATACTGTTATTCTTTTCGTTAGCCAGGAATGAAACTCTGATTTATTTCCTCTTCTCTTTTCCATAGTTCTCCTGACTTCCTCGTCTCCAATCAGTTACTGAATATGAATGACCTTTCCCTACACGGCTTTTCATAGTATATTCCTATTTTCCCTTCCACAATGCTGACCTAGGTCTTTTTCACCTACCATGTGGTATTACTGTAATCATGTTCCAGCTAATCTTCTGACTCCATTATTTTCCTCTTTCAACATGATCCTGCACAACCACCCAGTTAATCTCCTGAACTAACTCTTTGGCCATGTATCCTTTTGTAGTGCCTTTCTGCCATTGAGTTCAGTGTGGATTGCATCTTGTGTTTAATATTCTTCAGGATTTGGCCTGCACCCTGTCATCTTCAGTTGAGCCAACTCCTTGCATTCTCTGAAGTGTACTGTGCCTATTTCTGCCTCCTTTCCTTTGCCCAGCCTGTGTTCTACAGAGGATCACCCTAGCTACTCCACACCTACACAAAAATATCATATTCTTAAGACCTGATCTTGACCATTTACCTTCACTTTAGTTCTTCCTGTTTACTGCGCCATTCACCCTGGTCCTAAGTCATATGTTCTTTCTTTGTATTTTTATTTGAATATTTTATAGGAACATACTTTGTCATCCCAACTGGACAGTTAGTTTTTGCAAAGGATAACTAATACATTTTCATTTTCTTTCTCAGCACCTGATATCATAACTTTTTTGAATAAAAGTCTAACTGTTTGATCTTGGTAAATGTAATCATTTTGAGAGTTTATCATGTATAAAATGATAAAAGTTGTAATGTTGCTGTTCTACAAAGCCTATTAATATTTTACCAATTTGCAAAGGAGAACTAATACATTTTTCATTTTCTTTCCCAGCACCTAATGTCATAGCTTTTTTGAATAAAAGTCTAACTGTTTGATCTTGGTAAGGTAAAATGTAATCATTTTGATGGTTTATAATGTATAAAATGATAAAAAATGTTATGTTACTCTTCTACAAAGCATATTAATATTTTCCCAATTTGAAAGATAATCCATAATCTGTCGAGTTTCTAGAGAATACATGAAAATACTAAAACTAAAGTGGATAGAGTTTATGTGAGTATTATATTCAGAATCAGTATTAGGGGATTACCAAAATCGTTACTTAAACCAAGATAAACAAAATTAAAGAACATACGATTTGGTGGAATAGAAAATTGTAAGTTTAAGGGCAGTGGCTAAAACTGGAATAATTTATGTTCTATAAGGGGAATGGCTAAATAAAATTAAAAACACATTTTTAATGTTATTGATAGAAAATTAACCCATAAAAATTGGTGCATTGGTCATTATTTAGACTAATCTGTTAAAGTTGATTATCGCACAATCATATTTTCTCTTAGATAAAAGATTTATGATACTTAGTAAAAATGGAGCAGAGATTTCACCATTATATTATATAATTATAATTTCAGTGAATCAACTGCAAATTCATCAAAGGCTATTTACATTCTGCTTCACTTAAATTTTCCAGTTTTATTTTCCAGAATTTTTCTTTACACTGTGCCCTGCACTCCAACTAGACTGAATGAACTACCACTACTTTCTTCCCATGATTTCCCATATCTACTTCCTCTGTTATTTCTTCTACCCAGACTGCCCTTCCCAATAGTTTTCTCTGTGTCTACACACCTTCCTGACACCACTCAAATATCATCTCCACCACCAACTTGCCTTGATCCCTAGAAATAATCAGACCCTTTTCTGAACACCCTTAACCATTTATTACTATTTTGTGGCACTTATTTCACTCCCACATCCAATCTGTGTGAATGGGCATGACATAACTTTTCTACCAAACAATATTTCTTTGGGGAAAGAATTGTCTCCAGTTATCTTTTTTTCCCTGATCCTAGGCAAGCAAGGCCATTGCAATTGCCGCACAAAGGGTGGAAATTGAGCTGGTTTCAAAGACCAGATTCGGAAACTTGAATTCATTTTCTCTGTTTGGTTTCTTCTTTCATACTTGCTTTTCCCACTTGGCTGGAGCTGGGGCCTAGGTAGATTCAGGCTTACATATAGCCATATGAACAGAAGGGAAAGAAAAGGTTTTTTTTTTCTGCCAAAACTTTTCTATTTTAGAAAAATAGGGAAGGGCTTTGTTAACTGTGACTTGGGGCATGTGCTCATTTCTGGAGCAATAACTGCAGCCAACAGAATATGGTAAAATAATTCGCTCAATCTGGGCTGAGATACACTCCTTAAAGTCAAGGACTCCTGTCTGTTACCGAAGTAGGGAAAACAGTGCTGGGCAGACAAAGAAACTACCCCATAAAAGTAGAAGATATCTTTCAGAGTCTCAACACATATAATTATTGGCAGTTTCTTTAATTATTTTTTTCTATTTATTTACTATTGAAATTGGATTGCATATTAAATTTTGGATTTAGTTTTCTTACTTATCATTATAGTCAGCTTTGTTGCATGGTCTTATACATTCTTCTTAACATGTGTGGTGCTCTTCATAAACATATGAGGTGCTTTGGAATAGTATCTCCTGAACACGTCAAGATATCACCAGGAAACAAATTTGACTTTAGGTCACATGGCCACTTTTCTGTCTCCATCACACCGGTTTTCTAGCTGGTCAGAGTGGGGATAGAGTCTAAAGGGGAAATTAAGTATCATGTGAGCTTTGAATTATGTAATGTTAACAAATGTTTAACATTACTATTTTCTAGAGTGGATTTTTGTAGGAACACTTTCCAACTTGTATGCATGTTTCCCATTCCACATAGAGTTCAAAATGTGACTACTTACAGACTGCTTTCCAGTTAGTATATTTAAGATAAAGAAGCCTACATTACACACCTTAAGAATGTAGGCCATGTCTACATAATAAGAAGAACATATTTTTTAACTTTTAAGTCCAGGGGCATAAGTGTAAGTTTGTTATGTAGGTAAACTTGTGTCATGGGGGTTTGTTGTACCGATTATTTTATCACCCAGATATTAAGCCTAATACCCATTAATTATTTTTTCTGATTCTCTTCCTCCTCCCACCCTCCACCCTCTGAAAGGACCCAGTGTGTGTTCTTCCCCTCTATGTGTCCATGCGTTCTCATCATTTAACTCCCACTTATAAGAGAGAACATGTGGTATTTGGTTTTCTGTTCCTGCATTAGTTTGCTAAGGATAATGGCCTCCAGCTCCACCCATGTCCCTGCAAAAGACAAGATCTTGTTCTTTTTTTATGGCTGCATAGTATTCCATGGTGTATATGTACCACATTTTCCTTATCCATTCTATCATTGATGGACATTTAGGTTGATTCCATGTCTTTGTTATTGTGAACAGTGCTGCAGTGAACGTAAGTGTGCATCTGTCTTTTGATAAGAAATAACATCATACATGCAAACAGCTGCTAGCATGTCTTTGTTAACACTTTTTGTGGCTTAACATCTTTACTAATATTTATGATTAAATTCAATCCTCTTATTTATTTCCCATTATAGAAACAAGTAGTGTAGAGTTGTACGAGACTCCTGAATTTATTTAGTCCAATGTTTCAAGCTTTTCAGAGGTTTATTTTACAAACCCATAGTAGTCAGTCATGATACTTTGGTTTAAATACATCTGATCCTATCTTCATCTTGCTATGGGGAACTTTCTGTCTCACCAGTCAGCTTTTTCCATTGTTAGGTATTTCTGATTGTTGGAACTTCCTCCTCCCACCAGTCTTTTTCAGAATCTACTGTCAAATCTGTTCTCATAGCAATTATAATTTTTCTTTCAGAATTATAATTTTAAAAATTTGCACATTTCTGAGAGGTCTTCAAAAAGTTCCTGGAAAATGTGCATTATGAAAAAAACTGGGCATCACTTAAAAAAATTTCACCAAGATAAACTTGTACTAACTTCTTGTAACATGTCTGAACAGGATCTAGTTTGAGACACTAAGAAGGATAAGACATTGGTTTGAATAGAGGCCCTATCAGAGCAACATGAATTCTATTAAAATTGCAGCAAGAACAAACATCAAATTTATGGTGAGGCTTGGGTAGAAGAATGGTGAGATCATTGATTCTTTATGAAAAGAATGGGGACAATGCCCCAAAGAAATTAGCAGTTTATAAGTAGAAAACTCATTTTAAGGAGGAACAAGAAGATCTTAAAGATGAAGCCTACTATGGCAGACCATCCACATCCACTTGTGAAGAAAACATTCATCTTGTTCATTTCCTAATTGAAAAGCCTAGGTTATTAACAGCGGAAACAGTAGCTAACACCACAGACATCTCAACTGGTTCAGCCTACACAATTCTTACTGAAAAATTTAAGTTGAGCACACTTTCTAGTTGATGGGTGCCAAAACCGTCGTACCTAGATCAGCTGCAGACAAAAGCAGAACTTTCAATGAAAATTTTAAACAAGCGGGATCAAAATCCTAAAACATTTCTTAGAAGAGTTGTGACAGGAGATGAAACATGGCTTTACCAGCATGTACCATCCTGAAGACAAAGTACAATCAAAGCAATGGCTACCAAGAGCAGGAAGTGGTCCAATCAAAGCAAAAGCAGACTGGTCAAGAGCAAAGGTCATTGCAACAGTTTTTTGGGCTGCTCAAGGCATTTTGCTTGTTGACTTTCTGAACGTCCAAATAAGAATAGCATCTGCTAATTTAGTACAGTGTTTTGAGAAAGCCAAATTTTTAGCAGAAAAATGCCCAAGAAAGCTTCAATAGCAAGATCTTTTTCATTATGACAATGTTCCTTCTTGTTCTTCTCATCAAACAAGGGCAATTATGTGAGAGTTTTGGTGGCAAATTATTAAGCATTCACCTTGCCATCCTGATTTGACTTCTTCTGACTTCTTATTGTTTCCTTGTCTTAAAAAAATCTTTAAAGGGAATCCATTTTTTTCAATTAATAATGTAGAAGAGATTACATTGATATGGTTAAATTCCCAGGACCCTCAATTCTTTAGGGATAGACTAAATGGCTGGTATCATCTCTGACAAAAGTGTCTTGCACTTGATGGAACTTATGTTGAGAACAAAGTGTGTATTTTTAATTTTTATCTACTTGCCCATGAAGTTCATGGAGTGCTTTTAGATCTGTCTTTTTCTCTGTCTGTTTATCTATCTATTTATCTGTCAATCTGTCTACACACCCATGCATCTACTATCCACCTACCTACCAATCATTTATTCATATAAATTTGTTTAAACACCTGGAAAAATGATTATATCTCCCTCTTGCCTTCTCTTTACGTATTGCTAACTATACTCAGATATTTGAGTCATTCTTAGTATGATAGTTTTCTTACTGTTGTCCATTCCTGTCTTATTTTTTAATGTTCTGGTTCTTTTAGAAATATGTTATCCAAAGTAAACCCACTGTTCTTGCTGTAGGAGAGAGTTCACTGGGCCTTTCCATGCTGTGGTGTGGACTTTTACTTCCATTGTAGATATAGCAGAAAGAGCTCAGTGACCGAGAGCCTGACTGCTTGGATTTATACTCTGCCTCCACCTCTCACTGGCAATGTAGCTTTGGGCAAGTCACATATCCTCTGTATATAATTTTTCTCATTTGTGGGGTGCAGATATAAGTGGTGGCTATCTTGGAGGGTTGCAAAGAAGAGCACTTCCTTGGCCAATAGTGTGCCCTCTGTCATGAATATTTCCCTGCTATCATTGTAACTTAACTTTTGTTGCTATTTTAACAACCAAATCATGACTATTTGTTATCACTTCTGGGCCTTTAAAGTTGCTGCTTTTCCCACCTAGAGCATTTTCCCCCAAGATAGTCACAGGGCTGGCAACCTCTAATCTTTTAGCAGCTTGAATGTCATTCCTCAAAAAAGCCTCCCTGACTGCTGGTTCTGCCCTTGCCCTGGTCACTCTCTAGCCCTGGGCTTTATTTCATTTTCTTTATGGATCCTATCACCATCTGAAATTCTTCACTAATTTGCTTGATTATTAGCTTTCTCCCTCTGCTGAAATGTAACACATGTGAGACCAGAGCCTCCTTAGTCTCATTTACCAATGTTAACAGCAACCAGAATCGTGCCTAGCATATAGCAAGTGCACCAGAAACTTTGTTGAAAAAATGTTTTGGGTCCATGAAAACTTCCAAACATGTTTCAGATGTTCAGATGACTTTTTCTTTTTAACTTGCTCTCCTCCACCCCATATCAATGCAATGGATATTTGAAAACTAAATCCAGAACCTGAATTTATCCTCAATAAATTTGACTTTTCATATTCCATTCAGAGTTCTGGTATTCCTATATTGTTTTCAATTTAATGCTAGACTTTATATTAATTAAGATAATTTTATGGTAACAATAACATTATGCATGCATTGAGTGTTTGCTACATATGAAGCACTTATAAATTTTTACATATAATCTCATTTAATTTTTAAAACAACCCTATGAAATACATAACATTTTTATTCCCATTTTTATAAATGAGAAAGCTGAGGTACAATGAGGGCTGGTAATTGGGCAAAGTCCCACAGCTAGTAAGTTATAGAGTTGGGATTTGAACCCAGGCCTTCAGATATCATCAACTGAATAATTCATCAGTGTCATGAGGAATTTTCTGAACTTTGTATGACTTGAAACTTTGTGATGTTTTGTCTGTATCTATATACAAGTCATGATAAGATGCCTCATAATAATACCAAGCCTCTGTGATATTCCAGTACTTTTTATTCTGGTTACTACTGAACCAAGAATTATTATATTTTAGTCATATTGTCAATGAGTTCACTACCCACAGAGCTGAGGACATAAGGCTGCTGTGGAAAAGGGAGTAAACACTTATTAAAAGCCAGGATAGGCAATGTGGCATTCCTGTAAAGCACTAATTAGTATTTTCAGCAGAAATATGTTTTACCAAACCTATTTTGCTGTCATTTGAAAGCATGTTATTTTCTGCATGTTCACATTTCACCTTGCTTCCCAGAGTGTTTACAGCAACTTGCCACAGTAACACATACTAAAATAATGGTATGATACACAAGTAAGAATAAAAAATGTGATCTAGAGAAAAATAAGAGTTAAACACAAGACCCTAGGGTGGAGGATGGTCTGAGAGAGAGATAAATATTTAGGCCTTAAGGAACCACACACAGTTCCCCTGGTTGAGCCACAAATTGGTATGTTTTTTTCCTTATGTACAGGTTTTTTTTTTATTATACTTTAAGTTTTAGGGTACATGTGCACAACGTGCAGGTTTGTTACATATGTATACATGTGCCATGTTGGTGTGCTGCACCCATTAACTCGTCATTTAGCATTAGGTATATCTCCTAATGCTATCCCTCCCCCTGCCCCCCATCCCACAACAGTCCCCGGTGTGTGATGTTCCCCTTCCTGTGTCCATGTGTTCTCATTGTTCAATTCCCACCTATGAGTGAGAACATGTGGTGTTTGGTTTTTTGTTCTTGCGATAGTTTGCTGAGAATGATGGTTTCCAGCTTCATCCATGTCCCTACAAAGGACATGAACTCATCTCTATTCTTTTATTAGCCACCAGGAAGCTTTAAAAAAAATACCCAGAACAAATTGGTATTTTTTTTTAAAGCTTCCTGGTGGCTAACAAAAGAATAGAGAAGCAATCAGTTCTTACTGTCAGTTAGAAAAAGCTATCCCAGTTATTCAAGAGAAACACAGTATAGCTTGAGACTATATGTCTCCATAGGCCTTTTTGTAAGAAGTATTCAGTGATATAATTTCCCCTATAGCAGACCTACAATGAACTGCTTAGTTTCATGTCACTGCTGCTCATATTGTCCTTTGCTAAAAGCTGAGAATATGACACTAAAACGAGATTCAAGGAAAGAAAATCTGTAAAGGATGGAAAACGCAGATAGTATGTTCAAAAGGTTAGATAGAACTTGGAGGATCATTTATTCTTCTTACATCCTCCATAAATACATAGCTTACCTGGGATTTTGAATAAATGTGGGCAGCAGACCATTCAAAGTAAGATTATCTGGAAAGTGCTTGGAGTTTCTGAGTGGTTTGCTGTTGGATCCATTTGTTTTAGAAAATGAATGAGAATACATGGAGGATTATAGCCTTTTCTGGAAATTAAGGACCTAACCAAGTTTTTTGTTTTTTGAATTAAAGGGCCCTGTCCATATCTATATATAAGTGAGAAACTGACTTTATTGGATGTCTCTAGTGTTTATTCATTCCTTGTTCCTTCGTTTATTCCTTCAACAAATATTTATTCAGCCCCTACTATGCCCTAGATACCTAAGCTATAGCAGTGAAAAAGACAGGTATGATCTCTCCTTCAATAGAGTATACATTTTAAGAGGCAAGGCAAACACTAAACAAGATACTAATTATACAGTTACAATCTTGATAAGATCTACTAAAGACAAGTACAGGTCGGAAAGTAAGCACAAAAATGAGAAACTCAATTCCATTTTTACAGCTTCCTTACATTATAGATGATGTTACCTCTAAGATTTTTTTCTTTTTTCTTTTCCTTTCTTTTCTTTCTTTCTTTCTTTCTTTCTTTCTTTTTTTTTTTTTTTTTTTTTTTTGAGACAGAGTCTTGCTGTGTTGCTAGGCTGGAGTGTAGTGGCGCAATCTCAGTCCACTGCAACCTCCACCTCCCGGGTTTAAGCGATTCTCCTGCCTCAGCCTCCTGAGTAGCTGAGACTACAGGTGTGCACCACCATGCCCAGCTAATTTTTGTATTTTTAGTAGAGATGGGGTTTCACCACGTTGGCCAGGATGGTCTCGATCTCTTGACTTTGTGATCTGCCTGCCTCGGCCTCCCAAAGTGCTGGGATTATAGATGTGAGCCACCGCGGCCGGCCACCTCTAAGATATTAACAGCCTTCTAATCACTAAATCCAATGTCCTCTTCTAATCTTTAGAAATGTTCATATTCGTTGGCATGGGAATATAACCATGAGGTTTAAAGTTTCTGCTTGTGCCTTTGTTTGTAGCAGATAAAATCTTTTGTTTAAAAGAAATAAAGCCTACTTGAAGTCCATAAAGAGAAAACAGATGAAATCTGGACTGCTTTGTTTGGAGATGCCTCATGGGAAGGTGGGAGCTCTGGCTTTCCCCACACTTGGTAATCTCAGGATCGTCTTTTCTTGATCCCCATGGTGCTAGTTTGGAAGCCACTATTCTAGAATTCTCATTATTATCAGCTATTTATGTATTGGCTCCCTGGCAGCCCTAAAGACTCTGCCTGGACTGACACATCCCAGTCCTATTCCCAGTTCTGTGCCGGAGTCTCTGAACACTTCTTGAACTGATCTGAGCCAAGAAAGAAACTTGGACATCTTTGGATTTGTGAAATCCAAACTGGACCCTCTTCATTTGCTGTGATTTCCCACCCATGATTACAGTTCACACTCTACTTACTACCAGGTCTCCAACCAACACCTCATTTATTAGTCCATCTCCTGTGTGTGCATGGATTGGTGAGGGAAATTAGAAGGAAAGGAAGATGATTGCATCCATCAATTGAATCAATGTATTCTGGGCTCCAAATATGTGCTAAGCATTGTCCAAGGAAGCTGAGGGTATAACTATGAACAAAAGAAACAAAAATACCTGCACTCTTGGAACATACATTCTAATGGAGGATATAGACAGTAAATACATCAGAAATTAAAATTGTATAACAGGTGGTGATAAGTTCGTTGGGGAGAAAATAACCAAAGAAAAAGGATAGGGTATGTCAGGGTGAGGAGGACCAAGGTTTACTACTTTAACGAATGATGTAAAAGATTGCCTGAGTGAGAAGGTGGCATTTGAGGAAAGATGGGTAGGAATGAGTGATACAGGTGTCTGCAGGAAAAGCATTGCAAACAGAGGAAGCAGAAAGTATAATGGAGCTTAGTTAGGAGCCTGGTATGTTTGAGAAACAACAAAGAGGTCGTGTGGCTAAAGCAAAGTAAGAGATGAGACTAGAAAAGTGGCAGAGGAGCAGATCCTGAATTGTCCTGTAGGCCATTTTGAGGACTTTGGGTTCTACTCTCAGGAATAACTGGGAAGAAGAGTGACACGATCTGTCTTCAGTTTTGAAAAGATCACCCTGGCTACTGTGTGGAAAATGGAATGAAGGGGGCAACGGGAGGTGCAGGAACATCATTTGGGAGTGGTTGACACAAAACAAGCAAGCAATAAGGGGAAGGAGGGGGGATAATTTGTTCAAGTAAGCCTCTTTCTCTGTTCCATTTGATTGGAACAAATGGTACAACTTAGCAGAATGTCCAGTAATAGAGGAGAAAGCAAATAAAAATTCAAAGATATTGAGATAGTACCTGAGTGGTAATTTAATTAATGGAAAAGGAAATCTCAGAAAGAGATGTTTTTGCCTAAGGGCTAGTTGTGAAAGATGACCCTGAGGCTCAATAAATTGCCTTCCATTGTCAGTGGTATGTGCGTGTGTAGATAATTAAAGAGGTGAGAATAAAAATAGAGGGAAAAGTCAAGGATTGAGTTTTCAATTTTAGAGTTTCTATATATGGAGTACTGTGTGGTTTATAAAACACTGGTATTTAATATATTTTATTACTATATAAATGAATGAACTACGTTTCCCAAACATCTTTCTACGTGTGAAGCAAAAAAAAAAAAAAAAAAAAAAAAAAACCACACAGAAAAAAAACAAGCAAGCAAACAAAAACAGAGGGAACAAGAGTTTAGAGAAGTCAAAGAAATAGTATTCAATTTTCTGTTTAGTACCATTTATTCAGTGTTCAGTGTCAATGAGGTTATGAGAAATATTCTAGATACTGGAGATACAAATATAAATGAAACACAGTTCTTGCCCTTAAGAAGCCCACAGTCAAATGGAAAATATATAGAAATAAATAGCACTGTAATGTGATAGGCAGACAGGATTGCTTAATTCTCACTGAAAGATTCAGATCAGAGTTACCCTCTGTGCAGCTTCTTGATGGATGATGGGGAGGGCCAGCATCTGGGGTTGGAGAAAAGAAAGGTGGGTCTCAGGGAAGAAATTCCATGTGCCAAGATACAGAGGGGTAAAATTATGTGGCCTTTTCAGTATATGAAAGCAGTGATTCACAGAACTTAGATGATACACCTTGACAAGATACTCAAGACTCCCAAGACAAGACACTCAAGAGAGTGTCTTGAAAATAGAGTCTTTAAGGAGTAATTCAATTAAAATTATGGCATTAGTGCAGACTGTAATTCAATACGACTGGTGTCTTTGTAAGAAGAGAATGTCCCTATAAGAAGATACTCAAGAATTCCAAGATAAGACACTCTTGTGTCTTGGGAGAAATTCTCATCTTGGGAGTCTTGAGTGTCTTGTCCAGGTGTATCATCTAGTACAGAAAATAGCTCAAAAATTGTGATAGCCTTGAGAATATATTTTACATTACTTACTGTCGAAACTGGGACTGTTTTTATCACAAAAAGGGGCACTATTAATAATTACACTGGAATGGGTATAAATTAAAGCAGTCTGGGGAAACCCAAACATATGGTCAACCTAATGATACCTGTTTTCCTGCATAAAGGGGTTATAATTGTACTAATTTATGGTGCAAACTGGGTGCTAAAGCTAGTGATGAGTTTCTCTGCTAGAAAAATGTTCCAAAGAAATAAACCAAGACAGTTAATGCAGAGTTTTGGTAGAAGGGATAACTACTTTTAGATGGTAGGTCACAGAAGCTTGTCCGAGGTGAGGACTTTGGGCTGAGTCCTGAATACAAACAGCCAGCTATGGGAAGCTCCATGGCAGGAGTGCTCCAGGGAGAGGGAATCCCAAAAGCCCTTTGTGGGAGTCCTTCTGTTAGAGAAGACCTGTTTGGATGGAGAATACAAAACCAGGGGGGCTTGGGAGATGAGGTCCGAGACATAAGGAGAGGCTAGTTCATGTTCAGCCATGTACATGTGGTGGGGAATTTGAGTTTTATTCTAATTGGTGGAAGCACAGCAGGTGATAGAGCATACCTCACGTACTAGTTTACAAGGGCTGCCTTCACAAAGTACCCTGGACTGGGTGACTTAAACAATAGAAATTTATTTCCTCGCAGTTCTGCAGGGTGGACCTCCCAAATCAAGGTCCTGGCTGAGTTGGTGCCTTTTGAGGGCTGTGAGAGAAGGATCTGTTCCAGAACTTTCTTCTTGGCTTTTAGATGGCTGTCTTCTCCCTGTTTCTTTACATTGTCTTCCTGCTGAACATGTCTGTGTCCAAGTTTCCTCTTCTTATAAGGACGCCAGTCATATTGGACTAGGGTCCGCCCTCATGCCATAATTTTAATTGAATTACTTCTTAAAGACCCTATCTTCAAATATGGTAAGCCTCTGTGGTATTGGGGTTTAGATTTCAACATACGAGTGTTTGGAGGGACAGAATTCAGCCCACAACACCTCATTAAGCCTGGAAGAGACCGTAAGAATATTCGATTAACTGGATAAGAAGCACTTAAACCCAATTTCTAAGAAAAGAGGGATAAAAAGGTATACTGTTTCCAGGTATAGTATGAAGGTCATGATATAAAACAGAAAGAAGCTTTTTAGAAGGGAACAAAAAACACTGGGGCTTACTTCAGGAGGGATGGTAGAAGGAGAAAGAGGAGCAGAAAAAATAACTATTGGATACTAGGGTTATTACCTTGGTGATTAACTGATCTGTGCAACAAATCCTATGATAGGAGTTCACCTATACAACAGACCTGCACATGTACCCTTAAACCGAAAATTAAAGTTAAAAAAAGGAAAGAAGCCTTATACAGAGGACTATATATAGCCTTATATAAAGGACTATATTAAGAATTCTTGTGAGAAGTCATTATTTAGGTGTCAGGCATCTATAGCCATTTAAACAGAGTCTGTGTGTAACAGTCTTGAGCTGCTGATGAAAGAAGGTGTAGAAGAGTGTTGGTGCCAAGATCTGGAGTGGAGTGGTAGGATCCTGACCTGGAGCACCCAGGAATGACTGTCCTTTGTGCACAGGTGATAGACAAAACTGGGGGAATGAGGAGTTGAACATGGAGGTATATGAGGAAGGCTCATCCGCTCTTCAGAAATCCAGAAACCTAAGTGTGAAAACACAGATTTGAGGGCCTCCACCTGACTTGGTGGGATGCTCTTCATAGGAGATATTCTCCTAATGTACATTACAAAGTCAATCTAGGAGTAATGTAAAAGTGATAGTTATCTTAAACAACCTGAATATTTTCTAGATATGTGATTTTGCAAAAATAAAAAAAATAAAAAAATAAAAAAATGAAAAAAAAAAAAAAAGGCCAGGCATGGTAGCTCACGCCTGTAATCCCAGCACTTTGGGAGGCCAAGGCAGGCAGATCACCTGAGGTGGAGAGTTCAAGACAAGCCTGACAAACATGGAGAAACCTCGTCTCTACTAAAAATACAAAATTAGCCGGGCGTGGTGGCGCATGCCCGTAATCCCAGCTATTCAGGAGGCTGAGGCGGGAGAATCGCTTGAACCTGGGAGGCAGAGGTTGCAGTAGGCCGAGATCACGCCATTGCACTCCAGCGTGGGCAACAAGAGCGAAACTCCATCTCAAAAAAAAAAAAAAAAAAAAAAGAGAGAGAGAGAGAAAAGAAATATCTGTGTTAGGAAAAAAGCTAGGAAAAGCTAAATTCTGGTCATTTCATAATAAAACGAATAATGAAACAAACAGAAAAATATTTTATGTGGAAGAACAGAACAGAGACCTTGGGCAGAAGTAACCATGACACGTTGGGGTTTGTATAAGTAATAAACGCTGAGATATATGCCTTAAACTTTAGACTGTCTGAGATCAGTTTAAGGCAAAGATAGAATATTATGACTAAAGAGCGTAAAATGAACTGCTGAGCATGCAAGTACCATAAAAAGGCCCTTCCTTCAGAATTGAGCTGATCCATATTTTTTCTCTTGATTTCATTTTCTACTTAGGAACTCAGTTCTTGACAGGCCACATATACAATGAATGTCCCAAAGATTGCAATACTGTATTTTTACTGTATATTTTTTATGTGTAGGTACACAAATATTTACTATTGTGTAACAGTTGCCTGCAGTATTCAGTACAATCACAAGCTGCACAGGTTTGTAGCCTAGGAGCATACCATATAGTTCAGGTGTGTAGAGGTTACACCATCCAGGTTTGTGTAAGTATGCTCTATAATGTTCACACAAAGATGAAATCACCCAATGATGCATTTCTTAGAATATTTCCTCATCGTTACGTGAAGCATGACTATGTAAGCATTGAGAATATGAATACACATGATTTCCACCAAGAGAAAGCATGTGATCCCAAATATAATTGGTAAACTAGTATTAAAATTTTTTATATGTCTTTCTCAATATCTGTTATATGAGACACACTTGTTTCACATAGAACAGATGAACTATTTGTTTTCCATCACTAGAATATTTTTCTTCTAAAACTTTTGACCTATTTGGGATTGAAATAAATGACTTCTAAATTTCCATCCATTGCTAATATCTGTAATTCTGTGTATTACAGATAATTGGCTAATTACCTGAGTATGGTGTTGCTTTTTTCAATTTATAACAGTTTAGACCTTTTAGGATACAGTTGTTGAAATATGGCACCAAAACACTAAGCATCTTATATTGATCGTGTGTCAATTTACCTAACCTTGGCAATTATTTTCAATATCTATTTTCCAAGGAAAGAAATGAGTAGTTATTATCAAATTACACAAGTGGAGAAGAATTGGAGTTTAGGTAAATATTTTGTTCTAAAATATCAAATGGTCATTTAAGCTGAATTGGGATAAAACAACCCCTATGAATTTTGCTGGATGGACACCATAAATGACAGCAACCCTGTTCTTCTGTTTTCATCATAGTCAAAAAATGCTTTAGAGTTTACTACTTCTACATATCTCATTTAGTTTTCATAATGGAGATTTTCTAATGCATGTTTTATAGATGAGCAAACAAATTGAAGATGTTAAGTGACTTGTTCAAAGTCATATATGTGAACACATATTGAACATAACTTATTTGGCCTTATTACTATAATGGTCATTAGAATATCTTTAAAAATATAATTTTTTAATCAATTGACATTACACAATTTTTATTTGAAGCTTTCAAAATTAACAGTAATAATGTTATTTTATTAAGCACTTATTATATTTCAGTCACAGTGCTAAGCACGTCACAGTCATCATCTAATTTACTCAATCTGAAGGTATGCCATTCTCTGAAAATGGCAATATACGCTTACAATTATTTGTAGCATAGCATTCTACACTAAAAAGATGAAATAAAGAAGTTGAAATTTTCTTTATCAATTAGGATAGCTAATGATCTTCTGTGGCAACAATCAGCATGTCTTACAGCTTAAAACAACAACGTTTACTTCTCATCCACCTTACATCCTATCTTTGGTGTACCTGGAGCTCTGTCTCATGTCGTCCCCACTCAGAGACTCACGCTGATGGAGCAGCCACAATCTAGAGCCTGGCCTGCCACAGTGGTAGAGGAAAAGACAGACTGGTGAACTGTGCAGTGATCCCTAACACTTCTGCCCAGAGGTGATGCCAGTCACCTTGATCGAAGCAAGTCAATGGCTACATCAAATATCAAAAAAGTGGGAAGTGAAATCTTAAAACACCCCGGAAAATACTGGAAATTTTTATTTTAGTTTTACTTGAAAAAAGTATAAATTTTGATTTTCTGTATTAAATCACTTATTCAAACAATGATTTATTCAACAGAAAGCATTGAACACTGTATTTCTTTTCTGACAACCACTTCTCCAATTCTCTGACACCAACTGGGTGCCCAACAATTTTATTCAATTCTGATACTACCTGGAGTTAGCACAGATCCCCCAGGTTAAGGACTCAGTCTCACAAGACTTCTGCTACTCTAGACACCAGACACTGTACATGGAGTGCTCGGGCTACCCACAGTTTTGTGCAGCTGACCACAAATTGGGGGTTCTCATGACCCCCTCCACCCCTCAGTTTCCATAATTCAGTAGAGCCACTCACAGAACCACGACATGTTCTTTATTTGCAATTATTGGTTTATTATAAAGGATTCAACTTAGGAACAGCCAAATTGAAGAGATGTATTGGACAAAACATGAGGAAGAGGACCCAGAGCATAGATGCCCTCTCCTGGCACACTGCCCTGCCAGCATGATGATATGTTCACCAATCTGGAAGATCCTCAAACCCCATCTTTTAGAGTTTTGTGTCCAGGATTCATTAAGGTAGACATGATTGATTATACATTGCCCATTGGTGATTGAACTCAATCTCCAGCCCTTCTCTCCAACCCAGATGTCAGGGACGGGGACCTTCAGTTCTGTTCCTCTAATCCAGTAGTTTTTAATGTAATCAGTCCTCATCCTAAAGCAAAAAGCTACCCTTTTCTCCCCCATGAGTTATTTCATTAGGGATCTTAAATAGAAGACTATTCCTTCAGAAGATTTTAGGAGCTTTGTGCCAGGAAGCTGGGAGAAAGATTTTTTTGTTGTTGTTACACTACACACAGCCATATGCTGAGCTTGGTGCAAGGCACGGGGGATACAGTGGTTAATGGAGCAGACACAGTCCTTGTCCTCATGAAACTTCAAGTTAGGCAAACTCATTGAAATGAAGATCAGTCTAGAGAAGTTAGTAAAACTGAAACAAAGATAAATAAAACATGAACTTGATTCACAGAAACACTTACCTCCATATATGAATAACATCAATTAGTAAACTGGGAGGAGGAAGGAGGTGCTGGGTGTGGAATGGACGGGAAAAATGGAGAAGTCAACACTGAATTTCTAATCACCTAAATCACTTTAAGTCTCATCTTTTTGACATGGTGATGGTCAAAGATTGGCACATTATTCTTATCAAAGCACAGGATAGGGTGCTAGGTGGAGGAACCAGGAAAGATTAGTCAGAGAAGATGCCTTGAAATTCTATGTTAGATTGTCATCTAGGTTATACAGCTCATGGACAAAAATACATGCATAAAATGATGCCCACATGGATTAATGGATACATGAAATTTTAAATTCCTAGACAAACATATAAATCAATGAATTATTAAGTTTATACTAGTTGTATATGGGACTATTTGATATTGCTTACTTTGTTCTTTGAATTTTGCATTTAGGAGATTTGTAGTATGAGTTTCTTGCAGAAATCTTAACATTTCCTTAAAAAACCACTTCCCTAAAATAATCCTTGAGGAAACATATTTGTCAGAAATGTTCACATCATATTCCTTTTGTTCTGGTTTATCTCATCCTCCTTGACTTCTCCACATCTCTAAGTAGGAAGTTATTTATTGCTGCTGAAGTTGTAACCCTGGTGATTTCGCTATCAACTTACAAATCACTTCCTTTCCATATGACTACAGCATGTAAGAATGCTGAGGTTTTCTTTTCTCCAAATAAGGCAGAATGCTTCAAGAATATTTTATCGTCCTATATGGATATTCTATACCTTTAGAGTGAACACTTTCCTCTATTAAAACATTAACAGTCATAATGAGATTCAGTCCAACTGGACCGAGCTTGTGAATAAAACAAGATGCTCCAGTCTGTGGTTCAAACATTTTGAACTTCCCAGAATATAATTAGGTATAGAATATAGTTCTTATCTTTCTTTGAGAACTTTTTGAATTATTGTTATAGTTTCTAAAATATCTTTTCTATTTTGAGGGTAAGGTCACAAAACAGAAAAAAATGTGTATCAGAGTATGTTGAATATGGCTGTTTGTCAGATCAAGTTTACGCTGTGTATGGGCCTTCGTCCAATTTAGATGCAGATGGTATAAGGGACTTTGAATATGCTATATTATTATTCAGCTGACTTCTCCAGTAAATAATAGTGTTCTTCAGGAACAGAAAACCAAACGCCACATGTTCTCACTCATAAATGGGAGCTGAACAATGAGAACACATGGACACAGGGAGGGGAACATCACATACACTGGGGCCTGTAGGTGGAGGGGAGCAGGGGGAGGGAGAGCATCAGGATAAATAGCTAATGCATGTGGGGCTTAATACCTAGGTGATGGGTTGATAGGTGCAGCACATCACCATGGCACATGTTTACCTATGTAACAAACCTGCATGTCCTGTACATGTATCCCAGACCCCAAAATAAAATTAAAAAAATAATAATAGTGTTCTTTAGCGTCTTTCATGTGAATGGAAGTTTTGCAGACATTGTCACAGCAGCATTTTTTCCCGTGGGTTTCCACTAAGTGGTGCCTTCGCCTTGGGGGAAAGGTGTCTCAGTCTTATTCCAGTCTGCTTCATTTACTGTTGATGTGATGATTGCTGCCTATGTAGTATGTGACTTTCTAGGGACAGGCGGTCAGGTTTTTCTGGACCCCTCTTTCTCTGAGGATCTCTTCAAAGGAATAGCCTTTGGCCTTGAGTGCTGCCTCGAGCCCACAAGCACCTTCTCATGGTTGAGCACACCCTATTGCTTGACTCAGTGAAATACATTGAATATCCTGCCAACACTTTTTGTTGTACATCTCTTTGCCCTCAGGCTAGCTACAGAAAGAAAAAGAGAGAGAGAATACATTTTTACATTTCCTGTTCTTCATGTTGAATGAGGCAGTTTATCTTCTGAACAGCTGCTTTGAAGGTTTGAGTATGTTCGATGCACTAAACATAACAGCATAGAAATGAAAAAAGGAGGTTGGCAAACTACCTTCTTATCTTCTTTTAAGGCTTTTGAAGGATTTAAGTTGTTTCACCTTTTAGTGGCATCACAGAGAGGTTGAGATTTCACTTAGAGAGAATGGCTTTGATGTGCTATTTTGTATATTAGTGAACAGGTTCACAAAGATGCCATTCTCTAATCAATGCTCCTGCTCCCACAAGACAGAAGAGAATTGAGGAATTAAGGAAATGCCAAGAGGTAGAACATCCAGTATCTTTGGTGGAGATCTTGCTTTGCTATGTTTCCTTCCTTCAAGTTATTTGATCTGTGCGTGTGCCTGAGCATTTATTGTACAACAGATACTGTGCTAAGGCTTTTATAAGCTTTGTATTGCTTAATGTTCATGGCAGCCTTGGGAAGAAGGTACTGTTAGAGTAGGAATGCTACTATAATCTTCCAACTGGGTTGACATTAATTCCTTAACCTGCTCTTTTTGACTTTTCTTCTTCAACCCATTGATAATCTAATTGTCCTATATTTCTGTAAGGTTATTCTAAGGTATTTTTTGAGATTCCTTATTAAGACCATTAATACGGCTGGGCATGGTGGCTCATGCCTATAATCCCAGCACTTTGGGAGGCTGAGGCGGGTGGATCACCTGAGGCCAGGAGTTCGAGACCAGCCTGACCAATATGGTGAAACACCATCTCTACCAAATACAAAAAATTAGCAGGGCGTGGTGGCACACGCCTATAATCCCAGCTACTTGGGAGGCTGAGGCAGGAGAATCACTTGAACCCTGGAGGTGGAGGTTGCAGTGAGCCGAGATCGTGCCATTGCACTCCAGCCTGGGCACTCTGTCTCAAAAAACAAACAAACAAAAAAACTTTAATACGTGTGAGTATAGTAGTGAACAATTATTATGGGCTTAGTAAGTGCCAGGTTTTATCTTAAGTAGTTTATGTGCAAACCCGATAACACCCAAACAACCATGTAAAATAGATATCATAAGCCCTATTGTATTTTAAATGAAGAAGAGATGATAAGAGACATCCCTAAGCTCCCACTGACATAAAATACAGACACCAGGATTTGAACTGGGCCCATCTTACTACAGAGCCTCAGGATTTAACCCCCACTCTTCCAGTTTTCTTCATGGCCTATTGTCAGAGTAGAAACATTATTTCTATTCTGAACATGGGCTGTGCTCAATAAATTATTGCTTCATCTCCTTGATGATAACAAACCATTGCCTTTCTTAAAAGTCTTTTCTAAAAAATTTTAGCCTAGTAATTTCAAAAAAAAGTAAAGCAGTAAAATACGTCATCCTGTAAAGTCTAAAGATTTGAAATTTAAAAGTTTTCAGGCTAGAGAACAGAACTTGATGTAATTTCTAGAAGTGAAATAACTCTTGTTAAAATCAGATGCTGCTGGTACGCAATCCAAAAGGGATTGTTTAGACCCTAGAAGCTTCAAATAAATTGAGTCTCAGAAATAGGGGGGAATTGAGTCACACAGTTCTGATTGTTTTTGTCAACCTACTGAAGAGGAACAGGAGCACCCTTCCGAAAGAGTTCAGAGCTGAGTGTGAGTATTCACAAGCAAGAACCTCTGGCACATCTTCATCTTTATAATTCCAATAGCAATGGCAAACAAGAAGACTCAATGTTTAACTTCAGATTTCATTAGACGGAGAGCCGTGTTTACAATCAGCTGACTCATTTGAGCGTTCTGACAAGCTCTCAATCCTATCTGGATCTGTTAGGTTGTCTTTTAAAAGAGGAAATATTTCAACAGAGATAATATTCCTATAAGCTGTGAAAGTCTGTCTAGAAATCAATTGTTAAGCAACCTATAGAGTTTAGAGCAGAAAAAGCTACAAAATGAAGTAAATTTTTATAGTGGTTTCTAGTGAGAAACAATGTATGCCCTAGGTGCAGTGGGCCATGGAGAACATTTATTACATTCTTCTTGTATGAACACTGATATACGAAGAAAATAAAAGCTCAGCTTTTGCCTTATAACACTACACTTGCCATGGTACACTTCAAAATTCACACATGCATAGGGAGATTATTTACACATGTGCAAAACTAGGAAAATAAAATAATGTGAAAACATACTAGTTAAATGTGATTGTGCAGCTCTTTTACTTCTATTCTGGATTGGTGTTTTTGCCAAACCCTCCCTATGTCAACACAGGTGACCCCTCTGAAAGGAACGTGCCAATTATAGTTGACAAAGGGGCTTGGTGCACTGAATCTTGAGAAATGATCTTGAATGACCTCCAGGATTTAAATATAGTTATTGAAAGGGGCCGAACCAATGAGATGATTCACAGCTTCCGCATGGAGCCATCTCTATATGCTAAGTACGAGGCCAGTCCTCATAAAAACCCGCCAAGGAGGGCAGTAGCACCATTGTTACCAGCACAGACTCCTCCCTTTCCTAGCTGTGTGACCTTAAGGAGAAATATACACTCCAGAAATCTGCTGCTTCTTCTCTGAAAAGGGCACAACAATAGTCGCCCATTGTAGAGAGGATTAATGGGATAATTATATTATGTAAAACTCACTGAAGTATTTTGTTTACATAGGGACTATTCAATAAACATAAAAATTATAATTATTACAGTTGTTATAATTCCCCTTTTACAGCTGAGGAAACTCCCAAGACCACAGAATAAGTGGAAAAGTTGAAATTGGAACCTACCTCTTTTTGACTCCAAATGAAGTGTTCTTTTTAATAGGTACAGTAGTTCCCACCTATTCATGAGAGATACCTTCCAAGACCCCCAGTGGAAGCCTGAAACCACAGCCAGCACCAAACCCTATATACACTGTGTTTTTCCTACATATACCTATGATAAAGTTTAATTTATAAATTAGGCAGAGTAAGAGTTCAACAACAGTAATTAAAAAAATAGAACAACTGTAAAAATAATCCTGTAATGAAAGTTATGTGAATGTGGTCTTTCTCTCTTATATATTTCTGGAATATTCCATTTAATATTTTTGGACTGAAACTGTGGAAAGCAAAACAGTGAATAAATACTGTAATTAGTGTTCATTGATAACATAATTTTGGCCAAGTGCAGTGGCTCACACCTGTAATGCCAGCACTTTGAGAGGCCAAGGTAGGTTCATCACTTGAGCCCAAGAGTTCAAGACCAGCCTGGGCAACATGGTGAAACCTTGTCTCTAAAAATAAAATAAAATACAAAATTATATATATATATATAATGTATATTTATATATAATATATATTTATATATAATATATATATTTATTATATATATAATTATATATTATGTAATATATATAAAATATATATTATATATTATATAATTATATATAATATAAAATATATATTATATATTATATATATATTATATATATTATATATATAAAATATATTATATATTATATATTTATATATATTATATATTATATATAATTTATATAAATATATAATATATTATATATATAATATATATATAATATATAATATATTTATATATATATATAATATATATAATATATATATAATATATAATATATTTATATATATATATAATATATATAATATATATATAATATATAATATATTTTTATATATATATATAATATATATATGCCAAATGTGGTGATGCACTCCTGTAGTCTCAGCTACTCTGGAGGCTGAAGTGGGAGGATCTCTTGAGCCCAGGAGGTTGAGGCTTCAGTGAGTCGTGATTGTGCCACTGCACTCCGGCCTAAGTGTTGGAGTGAGACCCTCAAAAAAAAAAAAAAAGTTTTTTTCAGAATTCCGACTATATGCCAAGCACTCTGTTGGGTGCTGATCAACAAGGTAGACTAAGTCTTTCCTTATGGAGCCCACATTCCAGCTGCCTCTGACAATGCTTTTCCCCATGGCACTCAGAATCCTGATTCCTGAGTCCTACAGAACATTCTGTAACTTGGTAATTCTGAGGCTGCCTTGGGGAACAAGCGTAAGGAGGAGGGTTTCCTCAGAGCAGAAAGGAGGGAATGTTTTTCCTGCAATTAGAGAGTGCAGTGACAGTGGCAACCACAGTAGCCTCATAGAGCACCAGGGATGACAGGGAAGAAAGTGAATGCTGACCTCGGCTGAAACAGCGCTGGCAGCTTCAGCAGATATATTACATGGTACTTACCATTACTTCATACAGTGTTGAGAGTTTTGGCTCTTGAGCAGAATTTCTGGGTCTGTATTTTACCTATGCTGCTCATGCATTTTATGATCCTATGTGGGTTATTTAAGCTTTTTGTGCCTCATCTATAAGATTGAGACCATTATGATATTGATTTCATAGGTACTTTGCAGGCAGGATTACCTATCTGAGAGAAACTTGATTTATTTCTTTGATGCATGCAAACTTAAGCTTGCCAATGCTCATATTTGTGCATTTTTCCCCACACAGGACAGTGCAGTCGTTAAGGCACCATGGTTAGTGTCATCTCTACATGCCTCAGCCTATCTCAAGGTCTCCTTTGGACAGTTTGCAAATGAGTGCCTGCCTGAGTCTCTATATCTGAGGGAGTCCTCTGCCTGGGGGAGCTTATCTGCCCATGCTCAAGACATGAGGGCTAGAATTTGTAGATAAATACAACAGCTTCCTTGTCCCTTGGAGATGATTCTCAGACATATTCCACAATCTCTCAGAGGCTCCCTGGTGGTACCAAATCCCAGTTGTCCACAGCAATAGTGGGGTTGTTAACCAGCTTTCCTCCCTTCTCTGTCTCACTGCCCCACTTCCTCAATTTGCTCTCTGGGATCTTCCCCCAAATAAATGACATGCTCCCAAATCCTTGTCTCAAGGTCTTGTTTTAGGAGGAACCCCAGGCAAAGGTAGTTACAGATTTTAGAGCAGGACTTCCTCCTGCAAATTCTGACTTCATTACTTACAGGGATTTTTTTTTTAATACTTTAAGTTTTAGGGTACATGTGCACAATGTGCAGGTTTGTTACATATGTATACATGTGCCATGTTGGTGTGCCGCACCCAGTAACTCGTCATTTAACATTAGGTATATCTCCTAATTCTATCCCTCCCCCTTACTCCCACCCCACAACAGGCCCTGGTGTGTGATGTTCCCCTTCCTGTGTCCATGTGTTCTCATTGTTCAATTCCAACCTGTGAGTGAGAACATGCGGTGTTTGGTTTTTTGTCCTTGCGATAGTTTGCTCAGAATGATGGTTTCCAGCTTCATCCATGTCCCTACAAAGGACATGAACTCATCCTTTTTTATGGCTGCATAGTATTCCATGGTGTTTGTGTGCCACATTTTCTGAATCCAGTCTATCATTGTTGGACATTTGGGTTGGTTCCAAGTCTTTGCTATTGTGAATTAGTGCCTCAATAAACATACGTGTGCATGTGTCTTTATAGTAGCATGATTTATAATCCTTTGGGTATATACCCAGTAATGGGATTGCTGGGTCAAATGGTATTTTTAGTTCTAGATTGAGGAATTGCCACACTGTCTTCCACAATGGTTGAACTAGTTTACACTCCCACCAACAGTGTAAAAGCATTCCTATCTCTCCACATCCTCTCCAGCATCTGTTATTTCCTGAATTTTTAATGATCTCCATTCTAACTGGTATGAGATGGTATCTCACTGTGGTCTTGATTTGCATTTCTCTGATGCCCAGTGATGACGAGCATTTTTTCATGTGTTTTTTGGCTGCATAAATGTCTTCTTTTGAGAAGTGTCTGTTCATATCCTTCGCCCACTTTTTGAAGTGGTTGTTTGATTTTTTCTTGTAAATTTGTTTAAGTTCTTTGTAGATTCTGGATATTAGCCCTTTATTTAATTTTTATTTTGAGTTCAGGGGTACATGTGCATGTTTTTTATATAGATAAACTTATGTCATGGAGGTTTGTTATACAGATTATTTCATCACCCAATAATTAAGCCTAGTACCCATTAGTTATTTTTCCTGATCCTCTTCCTCCTCCCACCCTCTACCCTCCAAAAGGCCCCAGTGTGTGTTGTTCCCCTCTATTTATTCATATGTTCACATAATTTAGCTCCCACTTATAAGTGAGAACATGCAGTATTCAGTTTTCTGTTCCTGCATTAGTTTGCTAAGGATAATGGCCTCTAGCTCCATCCATGATCCTGTAAAGGACACGATCTCATTCTTTTTTATGGCTGCATAGTATTCCATGGTGCATATGCTTTATCAAGTCTATCGTTAATGGGCATTTGGGTTGATTCCATGACTTTGCTATCGTACAGTGCTTCAGTGAACATACACATGCATGTGTCTTTATAATAGGATGATTTATATTCCTTTGGGTATATATCCAGTAATGGGATTGCTAGATCAAATGGTATTCAGACAAGCAAATGCTAAGGAAATTTGTTACCACAAGACCTTCCTTATAAGGGAAGCATTAAATATGGAGAGAAAAGACCATTATTTACAGTTTTTAAATTAAGGAAATGATTAAACACTTCATTATTTCAATTTTCTCATGTCTAAGGAAGGTATGATGATAAAAGCTACATGATATTTTTTGTGAAGCTTAGCTGAAACAGTACCTGTCAAGTGCTTCTAGACCATTGCAAGTTTTCAATAAATGTTAGCTTTTATTATTATTATTATTAATGTCAGCCTACCTTAAAACTTCTTTAAATAGATGGCATGAACAGCTGTAGATAACTGCAGGGTGTAAAAATTCTGGCAGCTTTTTTTATACCTGTTTAAACTCTTTGAGCTTAACGCTCTTCAAGTTCCCTGCTGGCCTGTAAGTAATAGACCAATGTCAGTGGAGGAGACATGTAGATGTTAAGAATGAACTAAGTTTGTAAGGTAAAAAGCCAGGCTTCCTATATGCCTCAGCAGATGGTCTGATAAGGACGCTGAGAGAGAGTATCATGAAATAGAAGTGAAGTGGATTAACAAGAAAATCCATGTTCCTGGCACACTAAGGTGATAAGTAAATGGTTTTCTGTGGCTTTGCTAAAATTTTGAAAAATTCAGTTAGCAGCACCGTTGCCTAAACATAGTATGGTATGTTAAGAAGGAGGATTCTAACAAGCACTTGTTAAGTGCCTATTGTAATTAAGACAAATATGATTTGGTTTGTGCTCTCAAGTCTGGTGGGAGAGATAGGCATGTAAACAGATGAATTACAGCACGAAGTGCTACTGCTGCACCAAGACAGGCAAATAATTCACTTAAGCTAAGGCAGGGAAGAAAGAAGGAAGGGGATTTTTATATACTTTTATCTGCGCTGAAGGTGGCTTTACAGATGAGGAACCCGAAACTCAAAGAATGTATGTCAATTCATTAAGGCATGCAGCTGCTAAGTGGGGAGCCAGCATTTGAATCAAACTTTCTTTCCCCAAGGTTGTCTCCATCATGCCAGGCTGTAGTGGTGACAGGTGGAAAGGTGTAGTGAGCCATCTTCTAGGTATATCTATCCCTGAGAGCAACAAATCCTGGTGGTTCTCTCTGTATATAGTCACAGAGCTCCAGGGCATGTAGTACTTAGAATTTTGTTTTTGCTCATTGCACAGGAAATGGTATGAAACTGAGGTAATTCATACACACATAATTTGAATATAAAGAAGAAAATGATAGAGGCATCTGGATGACCTGATATTTAATATAGTAAAAGGAAAATGTTTTCCTAAGCAAAATGAGTGGTATACAATGAATAAGTTGTGGTCAGGAACCATGTCCCCAGAGTTTTGGCTTTTATCCTTTCATTGATTCACAACATGAATTTTTTTTTCCTAAATATCCTTCACTAGAAGGCAGAATTAATCAACCTTTGTAATTTAACAGATTATTTGGATACAAAACTAATGATATTTTTATTCAAACATGTCAAGACCTTGGGGATATAGCATGGGATTTGGGGAGCAGGTTGGTTGTTGGGGGCAGTCGTCTAAAGAATCAGTAACATTTGAGTGCCTAAAATATTAATTATTGTCCTACCAGCAATACTGTTCTCTGTCCTTAATGATGAATTAAGAGATTAGAAAATAGTAAAAAAATAAAAACAAGGACATAATTTCCATGCGATAATGATAGGACTTTGTGATATCACATTTAAAAAGTAGGTGACTTTTATGAGAGAGGAAGTGAGGAAAAGAAGCCAGCATTTATTGAATGCTTGCTGCAGGCTTCTGTGCCATGGGTATTAATAGTCCCATTTTACAGATGAGGACCCTGAGAATCATATATTTAGTGTCAAATGCTTTACCTAAAAGGGCAAAAGTATAACTAGAACAAAAGTTCAATGCTTAACTCTGAAAAAATCTGTTCTCTTTGCTACAGACCATGCCATCTTGGTGAAAATATCCCAAAAGATCTGGGGTTGAGTTACAGTGCCAAAGGGGAGAGGAATGTAATATTGCAATTAGATGATGAGAGATTGTCTTAGGAACACTGAAGTACACTGGCAAATTTTGGGAAGCAGAGATAAATTATGTTGCTAAAAGCCAAGGAAGGCTGGGCGCGGTGGCTCACACCTGTAATCCCATTACTTTGAGAGGCCGAGGCAGGTGGATCACCTGAGATCAGGAGTTCGAGACCAGTCCGGCCAACGTGGCAAAACCCTGTCTCTACTACAAAATTAGCTGGGCATGGTGGCAGGCACCCATAATCCCAGCTACTCAGGAGGCTGAGGCAGGAGAATCTCTTGAACCCGGGAGATGGAGGTTGCAGTAAGCCAAGATTGCGCCATTGCACTCCAGCCTGGGAGACAGAGCAAGACTCCATCTCTAAATTAATTAATTAATTAATTAATTTTTTTAAAAAGCCAAGGAAATCATTTGGCTAGAGAGTGTGAGCTTGAGAATTGGATAGAAGTAGGGGAAGTTAGGCTCTGTGGCACTGGGTGGTGGAAAGTCTGCAGTCAGCACTTTGATCAGGTCAAACCCAGTAATATTTTTGAACTCTTATTTTTCTCTGTCAGGTGCCAGCAAGCAAAACTGAGTAAGGAAATAATAGTTTATGGCCTTATATTTTAGTTAGTTTGAGTACCTGTTGACAGGTGGTCCAATTTTTGTGTTTAATTTAGAAGAAATTCTGAAGGATGAGGTTTAATAATCACAATTGAAGTAGTGGATATGGGATCAGAGTCTGATTGCATTGGATACAATATTCCAAGATCACTGAATGATACAACTCCTGCAAAAAGGATGCTATGACAATATAAGCATAAAGCCGCAGGGAAGTGGACAGAGGTCTTAAGGGTTGGAAAAAGGAGTGGGCACATTTGTGAAATGTAGCAGAGCTATGGGATTTGGACTTTGCAATGTACTTGTACAGTAGGACTAAAGCAGACAAGCATAGAATGCATGCCATTAATTCTTAGCCTTGAGGCATACCTTCTCAATAATTAGGAGAATGAAAAGAGGTGTTTTTTATATATCCTTCCACCTTTATATATATTTTTTATTGTTCAATGAAGTAGAACCCTGTATAAAGAGGAGTTCAGGGAATCTATTAAAAATCCAGGGTACCTTCTATGTCCTAGTCAGAGTTCTTGGAGTTGTTGAATTATAAAAATATGACATCCCAACACACACTGTAGGGATCAAAACCTAGGTGTGTGGCAGGAAGATAGCTCATAGGCAATTCCAATATTTGCAGTTGAAATTTGGCATGAAACACTGACAATTTGCATCGTCTGTCCATCCTTCATGAGCTGATGATGCCCAATGCTTGTCTCACATGGCAGGTCTCACTTCGTACTGAAATGATGAAGTTACTTCTCTGCCTCCAACACTAGATTGTGTGTTGCCTGAGGGCAGGAGCAATGTCATCCTTTTTGACTTTCTGGCACTTAAAACAGAATGTGGCTCATAGTTGGAGGTCAGTACATATTTGAATGGAAGAATGCATGAAAATATAAACGTTAGACTCTTCCCTTATGGTTATTGTTTTAGTTTATAAAGTAGATGTAAATATAGCCCAAGATAACATAGCAATTTGGCAATTCTCCATGAATTTTCTGTAATAGAATATTTCAGTAAGCACAGTATACTTCCTGTTTTAACTTTGTGGCTAACTGATCTTTAGTTATTTGACAGATATTTTTCTGGCAGGCAATGCGCTAAACATTGGGGGTTCTCTGCAACTGTTTTTTATTTTAAGTGGTAAAGTTGCTCTTTTAATTCAAATTTGTTTTTTAATTGACTTATAAACTTGTATGTATTTATAGTGTACAACATGATGCTTCGAAGTGTCAATAATCAAATGGTTAAATCTAGCTAATTTAATCATAATTTAAATAGCTAGATCTAACCATTTTGTTATTGACACTTCAAAACACACAAACACACATAATGAAATGGTCAAATCTAGCTAATTAACAAATACATTACCTCACATAGTTATCATCTTTATGGTGAGAACATTTCACATCCACTCTCTGAGCATTTTTGAAAAATACAGTATATCATCATTAACTATAGTCTCTAGACTGTATAATAGATCTCTTGAAATTATTTCTCCTAACTAACTGAAAATATGTATGCCTTGGACCAACATCTCCCCACTCCCCACCCCCAACCACCCCAGCTTCTGGTACCCACCCATCTTCAGCTGTTTGTAAATACCTACGGTTGATGAGGAAATGCATTTGTTGAAATATACTGAAGCCTGTGGATTATTGTAATAATCCTTTTATGCTATCAAAGATTTACTGCTCTTTGAGCTTACCTTAGTTGGGTCTTGTAAATTGAGTGTTATTTGAGAACAGAACACAGGAGGGCACCAGAGGACAAGAAAACGACAACCAAAAAAAAAAAAAAAAAAACCCCAAAACCAAAGCACTGAACTTCTGGCTCTAGAATAGAGACCCTGCTAAATGTATCATCTCTCAGCAGTCCATTTCTATTAAGTCTTATTCTTTAAAGGCCATGAGGTATTTGTAAACACGAGAGCTTTCCAAACTTTCATTAAAGGAAAGTGTCCCTTTCCCAGACAATGCTTCCAGCTCAGTCAGATGCCCAAGCATGACCAGAAGGAGACATGGATGAAGAGAACCCAGGGGGTGTCTTTGCACACATGATGCTCTAAAGCATTTTCAGATCTCCTCTATGGGCCCAGCAAGAGTGCTGTTTCTGAGGAAGAAGGCAGATTGCTGGACGGATTCACAAACCACGGCAGCTCCAACTCTCCTACCGATGCCTTTACTCCAGGTGCCTCAGCCAGTAGCAACAGGTCTCCCTGTTGGTGATACCCAAGGGCACCATTTAAGAAGAAATAAAAAATGATGAGTTCATGTCCTTTGTAGGGACATGGATGAAGCTAGAAACCATCATTCTCAGCAAACTATCACAAGGAGAAAAAACCAAACACTGCATGTTCTCACTCATAGGTGGGAATTGAACAGTGAGAACACATGGACACAGGAAGGGGAACATCACACACTGGGCACTGTTGTGGGGTGGGGGGAGTGGGGAGGGATAGCATTAGGAGATATACCTAATGCTAAATGATGAGTTAATGGGTGCAGCACACCAACATGGCACATGTATACATATGTAACAGACCTACACGTTGTGCACATGTACCCTAAAACTTAAAGTGTAATAATAATAATAATAATAATAATAAAAGAAGAAATAGACAATGGGCTTAAGTGTTCACTCACCTCCTGTGCTTCCCTGGGCCTACGGTTATGGCTCCTAGGCATATGGGAGAGGTTGAGTCAGTCACTGTGGCTTAGAGGCTGCAGTGCCTTATCAATTTCTGGCATTGAATTATGACTAGAATTTGAAAAACATCAAACATGGCTTCCATGACATCATAGTCTCAGCTCAGTATGTCACTGAGAGGTTGTAGTAGTTTGCAGATGACAGTGATCAATGAAAACCCAATTTATTTGACTCAAAGGGCTGTGGATATATGTACGTGAAAATGTATTCTACAGCCCTAACCTGCTGCATCTGGCTCTGGAATTCCAGGTCCACATTTCTGAGTATCTGCTAGTCATTTCCATGTATAGAGCCATCCCTTGGTATCTCCAGGGGACTGGTTCCAGAACTTCAAAGGAACTCAAATTTGAGGATGCTCAAATCCCTGACAAAATGGCATAGTATTTGCATGTAACCTATGCCCACCCTCTCACATACTGTAAAATCATCTCTAGATTACTTGTAATAAATAATACAATGAAAATGCTATGTACACAGTTGTTACTGTTTCGAGAATATTGACAAGGAAAAAGTTCTGCGTGTGTTTAGTACAGAGGCAAGGTTTTGAGAATATTTTAAATCCAGAGCTGGTCGAATCCACAGATGTGGACCCCTCAGATATGAAGGATCATCTGTTTATCCCACCATCTCATACTCAGGATGTTTAAAATAGAGCTAATAGCTGTTTCTTTCTCAAACCCAGCTCTTCTTTTCTTTGTTTCATCTAAATTAAGTAGCAAGACCAAGTTTTCCAGGCTGGAAAAGTGTAAGTGATCCTCAACTTTGTCCCCCCACCTTCCATTCCTATCATTCAGGGGGTCACCTCAACCATCTCTTCTATTTATACCTTTCATTCATTTCACTCTGCTATAGAGCATTTTGAATTCAGGATTTATTTACCTCCTTTCTAAGTAAGTTGAATGGCCTTTCTGTGCTTTTTCTGTTCTGGTCTTCACGTAATCCGCTTCACATTCTTTTTAAATTCACCTTTCCCAAGATTCATCATTGCTTACAGGACAATGTCCAATTCCTTAGCATTACATGCAGTCCATCTATCTTTCCTACCTTAGCTCTCACTTCACAGCTCATAATCCCTCTCCTCCCCAATGTACACAAACACACCCACCTTTCCACTGTGGTTCATCTTCTGGCTATTGGTTATATTTTGCCTTCAATTACCTCTGCTGGATATGGAATAGCATAGAAGTTATGCACATGGGCCCTAGAACTAAACTAGGGGTCTGCAAACTACAATCAGCAGGACAAATATTCCCCACCACCTCTTTTCATAAATAACCATTTATTGGAACTCACCAAGGAACTATGGAGAAACAAGGAAGAATTTCACTATAAAAGACGCCAGAGGAAAAAAGAGTACATATTGTATGGTTACATTTATATAAATCTAAAAAATGCAAACTAATCTCTAGTGACAGAAAACAGAACCCTGGCTGCTAGAGGAGCAGGGAGAGGAAGGGAGTACAAAGAGCCATGAGAAAACTTTTGAGGATAATGTATATGTTGCTTATCTTGATTGTGTTGATGTTTTAATGGGTCTACTCATATATCAAAACTTATAAAATTGTACACCTTAAATATGTGCAGTGTATCATGTGTCCATTATACTTCAATTTAAAAGAAAACATGGAAAACATTCAGCATCCAGTGTCCCCATAGCCTCAGCCACAGTTAGCCCGAAGAGTTGCTTGTGTCTTGATAGAGAGACCACTGAAGTAATTTCCACAGTTCAGGGTTATCATTCCATTGCTAGTTCTAAGAATCTTACCCTTTTCATGCCTTTGGTCTCTCATCAAAGATGTAGGATGGCTGGACTTACTAATCTTCAAGGCACTTTTCAAATTTCTAGAGTCTCTCTGTGGGGCAAAGTGGCTCACGCCTGTAATCCCAGCACTTTGGGAGGCTGAGGTGGGTGGATGACCTGAGATCAGGAGTTGGAAACTAGCCTGGCCAACATAGTGAAACCCCGTCTTTACTAAAAATACAAAAAATTAGCCAGGTGTGGTGGCAGGCACCCGTAATCCCAGCTACTCGGGAGGCTGAGGCAGGAGAATCACTTGAACCCAAGAGGCGTAGGTTGCAGTAAGTCCAGATCGTGCCATTGAAAAAAAAAAAAAAAAAGAAACAAAGAAAAGAAAAGAAAAAGAAAAAAATTTCTAGTCTCTCTGATCTCCATTTAACATGTTCAGTCTACAAGTATTTTGGTGGTACCTAAACTTATTCAGGCAGTATGTCTGTGGTCTATAAATGTACATACCCCACCTTTGCTGTAGTTGATGCCTCTGCTGCTGAAATTTGTTTCTTTTCTAAGTGTTGCATCCCTCTTTGAAACAGCAGGGGCTCACCTGGCAAAACAGTCCTGTAAGCAGTAGTGGAGAAACTTGGCTGCTCACTGTTCCTGTTTTGAGTAAATTACCCTTCTTAATTGAACATTATATGATTTGGCTTCCCAAATTTGTGTTCTTCTTTTCAAAAATCTAACAGTAATAGAGTGTATTTAGTTAGGTTCAAAATCATATTTTTTAAAAAGAAATGCAGGAAAAAATTCAAAGGATGTTTAATGAGAATATGATAGACTTTGAAATGGAAGATATCACCAGGAAATTCTCCATTTCTTAGGACTATATAAGTGACACTGACTTCACACAGTGGTTTTAAGGTTGAGTGTACTGTTACAGGAATATGTAAGCTGCTTAAAACATTTCACAACTCATGGTCAGACAATGTTCCTTTGAGAGGAAAATTCACTGGCGTTTCTCAAAAACCTGACTGCTTAAAATCCAAGTGACCCAATGCTGGCCTTGCTTATTTCTAGGGAAAGTTGCCTTAGCAACCTACTAGCATTAAGTTGCTTAAAGGAATGTGTGTTTAACATTGTTATAAGCCAGAAACAGAGAAAACAGTTAACATTTAGACAAGTGATTATTACTGGCATCCAGGTAGGCTGTTGGAATAACCAGGATATGAGTTGCTAATCGTTCATTTATTAATCTTCATGGAATTAAATACAGAAAGGATGAATACAGAGGAGATCCTGTGCTGGACACATTCTCTGTGTTAGTTCATTTATTCGTCACCATATCCCCTTGATTAAAGTGATGATGAGTCTTTCCATTTTGTAACTTGGAGAGACTGAGGCTGAGAGATGTTTAGATGTTTGTCCAAGGTCACACAGCTAGTACCTGCTGGAGCAGAAATTTGAAGCCATGTCTGGCTCATTCAAAATCCTATGTTCTTTCTCACACCCTGCTGGCTCACTACTTATTGTGAGGCATTTGAATGATCATTCAGCTATTTCCTTTACCTGATGTTTTTAGTTTGCTGGCTTCAGTTTCTTAGAGGCACCCTATTGGGCCACATGAGAGATTATAGAATTATGTTGTGATCATGGTGGGCTATTATCTCTGCAAACTCTCCTGACACCATCAGTGCACCAGGAAGGTTGGATAATCCTACGTGGATGTGGAGAAATCTCAACCTTTTTTTATTTGACATTAGGATTTTTTTTTCCCTCTAGGTGGTGTTTTCACTGACTTTGTGGATTGCAAAAAGTTGAGTTTATTTTAGTTTAACAGTCAAGAATGTGGTTCTTTAGGACATTTTCTCTTTAGTGTGCCTGGAGCTTCTAAATCTTATTTAAACCTTCTTTTTGAAATAGATGTTGCATATCTTTGGCTGTAAGAGGAAGTCAGGACTTGTTCTCTCTGCTTCCAGACCCACTCCCCAGCCATGTAGACTTTATATTTGAAGGTCCAGAGTGATTTTTCTTTTTTTTTTTTTTTTGAGATGGAGTCTCGCTGTCGCCCAGGCTGGAGTGCAGTGGCGCAATCTCGGCTCACTGCAGGCTCCGCCCCCTGGGGTTCACGCCATTCTCCTGCCTCAGCCTCCGGAGTAGCTGGGACTACAGGCGCCCGCCACCTCGCCCGGCTAATTTTTTGTATTTTTAGTAGAGACGGGGTTTCACCGTGTTAGCCAGGATGGTCTCGATCTCCTGACCTCGTGATCCGCCCGCCTCGGCCTCCCAAAGTGCTGGGATTACAGGCGTGAGCCACCGCGCCCGGCCCAGAGTGATTTTTCTAAGGCAATAATCTGACCCTGTCATTCCCAGCAGCATGTAGAAAATCACCTTGACACTCCAGGTACATTCAAGTGGGCTGCCCCAGAGGTCATGGAACAAAAAGCCTCCTAGACCAAGCTAAGATGTGAAATTATAAATTGTTTATTAAATCAATTTAAGGTACACTTTAAGCATAAATCAAGGGGAAAGTGATTGGTTCAATAAACACAGGAGAGTGTGCAAGTGGGATAGAAAGACTACCATATCTCAATCCTTGGTTACACAATGTTCATCTACCTTGGTTCCCTCTCTGCCATATTAGTCTTCCCTGCTGATGAAGTAGTTACAAGAACCAGAGTTGAGATTAAGAAAGGGATACAACAGCTGGGAAACACTGGTCCTGTTACACCATTGCCCTCCTGGGGAGACACAAGGGCAAGTATATCTGGCCATAGCTATCACTTGCCAATTAGCCTGGTGACTAGATATATGTTTTATCTCTATGTATCAACCAGAGCAAATGTGGGGCCAGAATGGGACCAAAATGGATGTCACCAATGGGTTGACCAGTTTAGGGATGAAGGAGTCAACAGAGATTGTCTGAGCTTCATAAATATTTAAGGTTTACTCTGTACTTTCATCCCTTTCTATGGGGAAGTAACTCTCTTATTTCATCCTTTTTATCTTTGTTCAGCACACACGTGCTCTTTTTATTTTCTCTATGTCTCACAGCTCTCAGAGATTATCAATTTGCTCCCTACGCTTTAATCCATTCTATAAGTTCCATCCAACTTTTTGTTGCTTGCTATGACAAAATCGAATAATCTTAAATAATGCAGCAAACACACGTTGCAGCCTGTTTAAGATATTTTAAGAGTTCTTTTTGATCTAGGAGATAAAACACAAAGTTTTCAGTACAGCAGGTTCTTGTAAGCAGGTTCTTAAAATCTCCTCCTGGCTACATCTTTAGACTCATTTCCTACCTCTCATAAAAATGCCCTCCACTACCCTACGACACGGAAGTACTCGACATTTGCTGAACTTGCATGCTCTCTTAATCTCTATACGTGGCAGTTTTTAAAATCTCTTGTCTACCTGGAGCACTAGTTCTGCACATTCATTAAAAAGCATAAGCTTTGCTTTCTCTAACAAGTATTACTTGAACACCACTATCTTCTTAACCCCAAACTCAGACCCAAATGTGCATGTATATATGCACACACACACTCCCAATAGCTTCTCTCTTTCCCTGTGTTCCTTAGGTATAATGCAAAGAACTCATAGTAGTATTAAAGCACTTAAAACATTGTATTACATTTTTATATCACTCTCTACTCCATTAGACTGTAAGTAACTTTGATCCAGGGATCAAAATATATTTCTCCTTTTATCTCCAGCCACTAGTCAATGTCCAGTGTGTTATAAATAAGCAGTAAATATTTGATGAGTTGTTGAGTTAATGAGTAATAACAAATAAATGTTATTGTACAACAAGTTGGCAGATATTTGTTCCTTGAATAGAATGATTTTTATAATTGTCATTTACAAATTCAGTTTAGATGGGATATTTTTCTCTTATTTCTTCCCTTGAACGTTTTCCCCCAACTACCGTGTACTCCCATTACTAGATTTTTTTATAAATCACTTAAATATGTTTTTGTAAATTATTAATAGCAGCAAGTAGTGCTGATCTGTTGGGCACCTAATGTGTATCAAGCTGTGAATTAGAACTTGTCTTCCACTGGTCCCAAGAGAGCTGGATCAGTTCACAACCCTGCATAAATGGTAGCTAGGATTATGATTCAGTAGGAGCATATGTAGCCTCAAGCAGGATAATTAGTTGTAATAAGCACATAACCACATTTTCTCCCTGTTTCTGTGTTAGGGGATGGCAGTCAATTCACACTTTGAATTTCAATGTCCATAAGCTGCATTTAAATACATTCATATAAATGCATGTCAAGTAACTACCATGTCTAGGCCTTGGACTAGATTCTGAAAAAAATAGGCACAATCACTGGCCTCGTGGAGTTCATAGCCAGCATCACCTTAAAATCAATGAGAAGTAGAAAGTCAGGTTATTGAGACCAGGATGATCTACGCTGCATCTAACTGGGGGATATTAAGTTCTCACAGACATTACAAGCTTATCCCAGTCAATATAAGCTCACTGTATAATCAACTACCTCCATATACAAATGTCCCCTCCTCCAGTGGCATGATCTAGGGCTGGCAGGGATTCACCTTTCCTTACCCGTGGTGCTTCTCAAAATTCCCCTGCTGCCTCACCCAGCCACCCCCATTCTCACCCAGTCTAAGTATCAGTTCCAAGAAGCATTTCTAGTTCCTCTACCCCTTTGTTTTCCGCAAACCTTCACATCTGCTCCCTCAGAAGCACCATTGGTTATGGAGGTCTGATCTGAAGTTCTACCCATCACTCACACATTCATCATCCATCCAGAAGGCAGTTTTATATAAACCCAGATAAGCTTGGCTTTGCATCTACTTAGTAGCTATTTACCCTTGGCTGAGATAACTTAACATCCCTGTTTCTTACTGCTGTCATCTGTAAAATGGGATAAAAATGCTTACTTCCCAGTATTCTGGGGATTAAATATTAAGCTCCAGTACAAAGTGTAACAATGACTTTATGCGTCATTATCCCCGCTGGTCTCCCATAGCTGTTCTCTAGCACCCCTGTGCCATCTTTGGGATTGTCGAGTTAGCCCTGAAGTGGCAAGGACCCTATTTCAGTGCTCATATTTAAAAAGCACCACCATCAGCAAAAGGGGTGTAGAGAGGAGGCACCATTTAGAATCTTGGAAAATCTGAAAAAACTTGCTTCTAGGCCAGAGAGTAGAGAGAACTGTGAGATTGTGTGCTAGCCACAGTAGACCAATGTTGGATTGGAGATGATAGGTCGTCTTAATGGAAAGTGTGATGGGGAGCCAATGTGGCACAGTAGCTCAGAGTGTGGGCTCTGGAGCCAACATAAGAAGAGTTACCCTAACAGAATATAGACCACAGAGTTCTTCCCTTCAAGTATGGATTCATCATACATCCTTCAAACCTGCCAAGTACTTCACTTTCTTTCTCTCTACCAACCTGCTTCTTACCAACCTTCTAAAGTCCTGTTCTTGATTCACCCTAGGCTCACCTATAACCTTCAGAAGCCCTGTCTCTGACTCTTAACTCTTCCTGTCTTAACACTGAGCCTCTACTTTCAGCTTTGGGAGCCACAATGAGTGTTTCAGAGCTGAAGAATATCTGGAGCCCATATGTCAGACATGAAAGATTTGGAAAAACAGAAATAAAAAAGTTCCTTGAAGTATTTGAAATGATTTATTCAAGTAGGGTTGGGACCTAAAAATTTGCCAAATATATCATAATGGGGGAGTAGTACCAGGAACGTAGAGAAAGGAAGAGAAAAATTGATCTCATAGAAATAAAACGTAGAACAGAGGATACTAGAGGCTGAAAACAGGAGGGGGAAAATGGGAGACACAGAGAGATTTGATAAAAGACACAAAATTACAGCTAGATAGAAAAAATAAGTGCTAGTGTTCCAGAGAGCTGCAGGATACAACAATATACAGTTTCAAACAGCTAGAAGGAGCATACTACATATTAAATGTTCCCCAAACAACTAATGATAAATATTTGAGATGATGGATATGCTAATCACCCTGATCTGATCAATATATATTATATGTATCAAAACATCACTATGTACCCTGTAAAAATGTACAATTATTTTTCAGTTAAAAAAGGAAAAGAAACAAAAAAATAAATATTCTGAGAAGATGACCTTAAGAGAGATGTTGGAAGAGAGGGAGGGTTGGGAAAATGGGAGATGTCTGAGAAATACCCTAGAGGAAATTTGAAATAGAAAAACAGAGCTGAGGAAAGAAATAAAGATGAATCAAAAATTAAATTGGAGTTATATGATGGTTCAGGGAGCAACACATGTGTAGAGAAGGAAATGAGAGGCTGGAACTTTGGGGAATCCCAGAGTTAAGTAATAGACAGGGGAAGAGGCAGGGAGGGGAGGTTGCTCATGAAAGTTCATACATGTGGGAAAACCATGGACAGCCATGTCACTGAAGATGGGAGTGGCTGCTGAAGCCTAATGGTGATGAAGAAGACTAGAAAATGTTCCTTATGCTTGGCGATTTGCAGATTATTAGTAACCAGATAGAACAGCAGAGAAAATAACTAGCTGCCAAAAGGTTGGTGGGGAGGGCTTGGAGGGCAGAGGAACCTGGGCTCAGCAGCAGTCAAGGGGGATTCTGTGAAGTCTGGGGGGAGAAGCACCCTGGTGGGACACTCTAAAATGTCAAGGTGAATGGAGAAAGCAAGGGAAAGAGGCAGGGTTATGAGGAGGGCTTCTGTGAGTGGAGTGAAATTTAAGGTGCCTAAAGAAAGCTAACAGGAAAAGTCTGAAGGTTGAGAAAAGAAGCAAGATCACTGTTAAAAAAAAAAAATATATATATATATATATATATATATATATATATATATATATATATATATATATATATCTCAAAGAATCTAGAAAAAGGATAGGAAGTGGAGTCAGAGGAGAGTTTAGTCTTGGACAAGGTGGCAGGGTCCTTACTCTAATAACAGAAGCAAAACTGTGGATTAAGCTTATAAGGAAGGGATTTCATTTATTTACTCAACAAGCATCTGAGTGTGTAGATGCAGACATGGGCATTTTAGACCTGGTTTTCAAGGTGCCTCCAATCTGGTTGGGGATATGGATAACTGAAGAATTAGTTTGCAACAGCATGAGATAAACCATGAGGGATGCTGACTGGGGTGTTGAAGGGTGAGAGGATGGCAGGTGGTGAGAGAGACATTCCAGAGTTTCCTTGTGAGTTACAGGTTTGGTTAGGAGGGAAGTGGAGCTAACTGTTGAAGAATAGAGATTGGCCAAATCTCTGGAATTTCAGAAGCATCAACTTTGGGAAACGGAATTTGCTAATGGAGTGGAGTCTGATGCAGTTCTTCACTTATTTTCTTCTGGTATGCAGACCAAAATTATCTGAGAATGATCTTTTCACTTCTGGCTACAAAAATGCAAGCCACCAGTAGAACCACAGGCACCAGTTTACAGTGTAGAGAGCACTGGACTGGGAGTCAGATCTGGGTTGTACTTATGTGGTCATGGGAAATTCCTTCCCCTAGGTGCAGGGACTCAGGATTCGCTTTAGTAAAATGAAGGGTTATTCTTTATTGTTCTCAGAAAGGTGGTTTGAGAATCACCTGTGTGGTGGGCTAAGTATTGTTTCCTAAAAATTTGATGTCTACCCGGAACCTCAGCATTGTGACCTGATTTGTAAATAGTGTCTTTGCACATGCAATTAGTTAAGATGAGGTCACACTGGATTATGGTGCTCCCTGATTCCTATGATGGTGTCCTCATCAGAAGAGGGTACACAGAGATGAAGCCCATGTGAAGACAAACAGAGAGTGAAGTGATGCTTCTGTAAGCCAAGGAATATCAAGGATTGCAGGAAACCCCCAGAAACTAGGAAGGGACAAAAATGATTCTCCCCTGGAGCCTTTATGACCTGCTCACAACTTGATTTTAGACTTCTCACCAGAACTGAAAGATAACATATTTTCGTTGAAAGCTACTAAGTTTGTGATAATTTGCTACAGCATCCCTAGGAAAGTAATACCACCTGCATCCGGAATATCAGGAATCTTATTAAAATGCCACTTCATAGTATCCATCCCAGATCTTCTGAATCAGAAATACTGAGACTAGAGCCCTGAGATTTAAACTATTAACATTATTTATGTTTCTTATGAAGTTTTAAATGTGAGAACCACTGGCCTAAATGATGCCTTAACAGCTCTGAACAATCTGAAAGTTAAAATGACAGGACTATTTTATGCATATAGACGACATCTCCCCCGGTGAAGTGTGTTACTTCCCATCCTATAGGTATCACAAACAGAAGTATTTATTTTATTAAATACAAAAAGAACCAGATCGCTTCCAAACTACATGCTTCTAAACACTTTCATAGGTTTTGTGTTCTGGCAGCATTTTAAAGATAAAACTATTAAGGGTTTTATTTTTTCTGGAGAGGTATTTGTCTCTGAGCAGTTTGATGAATATTTAAATTTCTTTTAATCTGTGTTCTCCCATCATTTTCTGTATATGTTTCTTTCTTATCTCATTTTATCTGGCCTTATTTTTTTTCTCTGCTTTTATTCATTTTCTGTGTACTCAGAAATTAAAGGCATATCCATTGTATGTTTTTATTTAATAGTTTTTTACTCTTTATCCTGTACGGCCTGTGGAAAATATTTCACTATGAGGATTAGTCATTGCATCTCTGAACCATCCCTGATGCATCTCTTGGCTAATGGAGGCTGTATAGTGTAGTAGTTAAGGACAAAATGGAACGAGGCTACCCAGGTTTAGTTCCAGCAATTAGGTTATGCAACATTGGGCAATTGACTGAACTTCTTTCTGTGTCAGTTTTCTCAAGGGTAAAATGTGGTTGTTAATGGGACCCATGTGTTAGTCCGCTCTGCTCAGTTATGCTGCAGTAACAGATGCCTCCCTGGAATCCTAGTGACTTAAATGAGCAGAGCTTTATTTCCCACCGGCATTAATATTCATCCTAGTTCTGCTGCAGTGCTTCTTCATGCCTCTTCATTTCTGGACCCTGCCTGAAGAGGCAGCTCTGATTTGTCGCATCCTGGATTTGTGGCCAAGGGAAGAGAGCTAGCAGAGCCATGTGGTGGCCCTCAGACCTTCTAAGTGGTTCACACTATTTCTGCTCACATTTTCTTGGCTGTGAAGCACATAAGGCAAAATGCCTGACATAAGAGGCAGAAAATGTAACCCTCCAGAAAGGGTGGACCTATTCGGAAGAGGCTGGTAGGAAAAGACAGCAAATATTGTCAAAAATAATGTAATCAACCACAGCAACTTTATGGGATTGACGTGAGTATTAAGTAAGTTAACATAGGTAAAGCACTTAGAATAGTGTCTTATGACTATTGTCTGGTGGTCTATTATTAACGGGGTCTTGTGCAAGTATGTGAAGACATTAATTCTTTATTTGAGAATCCAATGTACCTTCCAAGGAAAGTGCTATTTAGAGTTGAGAAAGATACAGAAATACAGGTCTTGGTCTATGCCTTATGGAATCTGTATACTCCTCCATGAAGAATGTGAAGAGGAACAGACAGTTGATGACTTCCAGATGGCCTGAGTGCCCACCAGCAGGGTATCTAGTGGACACCTCTGTACCTGTTCTTCCACATGATTGGTGTTTATTTGTTCAACTCCCCCAGCAGACTCTAAGCTCCTTTAGAACAGTGAGTGTATCTTTTTCATCTTCGCACCCCAGAAACTTTCACAACACCTGTCTAGTAGGTCATCAACTTTTAAATTAAACCCCTCCTTCTTTATACAGTCTGAAAGTGGGGTGGTAATTTCACTCTCTTAGGTAAGAACAGTTTTCTTCTGCTTGATGCCCCATGTTAATGAGGAACTCAGGGTGCATGGAGGAGGCAGTCAGCAGTTTGAAGTTTACATCCATACTGTGCCCAAACTGTTGCACAGAAGTATGAAGACAGCGCATGGAAATTAGTCCTGTTTGCCAACATAGTCGGTTTTGCATGCGTCATACATGGCCAGGCTTGCTGTATTAAGAGCCAGCTGCATTTAAGTCTTACTTAAGGGGAAACAAATACATTTGAATTGAAATACACTTGATTTATTTTTGTTGATGTTCTAGTTTTAATTATTTTCTCTATGTGCATGTCTTGCAAGTTTTATTTTTGTGGGGACTATAAGGATATGATATTTCCAGGGAGACGAAGAGCTATAATTTCTCAACTTTTCAAACCTACATACATATTATTTTAGGAAGGACAAATCTCATCATCTTAGTTAACAAGAACCAGAATAGAGTGATAGTTCTGCTAATCTGGCCTCCTGGGTCTTGCAGTTGCATACACCAGATGCTAAGAGGATAAGACAGATTAGCCAGGAGTAAGACCATTCTGTGTGGCAGCTACCTCTGTCCACAGTGGGTGATCAGCTAATGCCATCAAGCTCATAAGCTGATAGGCCTTGTAATTACCATGCCAAAGAGGCTGCAAATATCCCTCTTTTCCCAATTTTACCTTATATTTAGTACTTTCTATTGTAGGAAGGAGATGCTGCAAACACCATGGAGGTTGATCTGAAAATACCGTATTCCCAGAACTCTTTGTCTTGGGATACTTCTAAAATCCAATGACTGTATCTTCATATCTATACATAAAGTCCCCCATCCAGATGGGATATTCATCCAGAATATGGCAGATAGAACCTGAAGGGTCTTTGGGTATCAAGAGCATATCACTTAGCTTCTTACTTGAATAGACTTACGCTATTTAAGAATGATCGTAACCTCATTCTTGGCAGTAGAGTGAATTAGACAAATTAACAAATTAGAGTTCCCAAAAGTCCTCCATGGTTCAGAGTGAAGAGCTATGTGATTGTGCTTAGAGACCTGTGCTACTTCCTCACAACCCCAGGAGTCTGGTCAGTTTTTGGTAATTTACAACCATGGTCCCTCAGCCTGCCCTGAGTGCTGACAGCAGACTACTGCCTTCTGTACTCTGTGGGCTTCATGGACTCTAGGTGGGTATTTAGGTTAATGGGAAGTGATCTATCTGTGGAGTCAGGACAGGCAGCTATCTAGGTTAATGGGAAGCAATCTATCTGTGGAATCAGAAAGACTGGATTCTTTATTTAATTTCACAATTCAATAGCTTGTGAGCTTGTGCAGGTCACTTAACCTCTTAATCTCATCCTAGGTAATTGACGTTACCTACCTCATGCGGTTGCTGTAACATTTGAGTTACTGCATGGGACATGATTGAGTGCTATGTAGGTTTTATCTTAGTTTGAGTTCCCTTGAGAGCAAAGCCTGAGACAAAGACTTGGGTGAGATAGTTTTTCTGGAGTGGTCCCCAAAAGCAGAAGTGAAGGAGCAGGGAGAGTAAGCAGTGCAGAAAGAAACACCAGTATGAGTGTCCACTGTCAAGATTCCTGCTCTAAGCACTGCATAGGTGGGAGAGATGAAGGTGTTGCCATGAATGCCTCCCAGGATTTTCTGCTTAAAACATAGGAGGTTGGAGTATTTATTCATTGGCTCCCTTCCCCTCCCCATTCTTTGATATTTACCCCTAGGGTATTCTTGCCCTCACTCCCATTTCTTGGTTGCTCTTTCTTGCAGGCAGGGCAGGCACCCTAGCTTTAGAGAAGGCCCAAGGGCTGGCCATGCTTGAAGTGGGGGACCATCAAACTGTCTGAGCTCACAATAACTGTCACCTGCTGCAGTGGCTGAAATCTGACATTGGCTGAGGGAATATGATGCCAGGCGGCACGTGATGCAGGGTCTGCTGGAAGCGCATACAAATATGATATTTTTCATACTCACTTTCATTTACAATATACACATTTAACTTTTTTTTTTTTTTTTTTTTTTTTGCTTTATTAATAGGTTCTGTATGCTAGGCCTGTACCCTGGTCTTACAAATACTTTAAAGAAAGCCCAGGTTATACTCTTCATTATCCTCCTAGAATTAGATTTTCTGTTTCATAATTAGCAATAGTCTCCCATATCCTCCATGCCCTTTACCCAGCCTCACCCTAGTCCTCTTTCAGTCCTGAGACAGGACAACTCAGGGATGTAAACATGGAGAAACTGTGAGAACAAACCAGAGAGGAAGGATTTTTCAGACAGGCTGACTAGGGTTTGAGTCCCACAGCTGTATGACCTTGACAGGTCACAGAGCTTTGCTCTGTCTCTTGATTCCTAAAGCTGGGGTATAGTAGATCAGCTGCATGCTACAAAACTAAATGAGACCACGTATGCAAAGCAACTGGTACTTCTTTATATATGGTACTTTCATTCCCCTATCACTTCCCCAAAAAGCTGCATTTTTTCTGGCCAGGAAGAATATATATTAAAAGGAAAAGTAGTGACTTCATTTATATCTATCTGCTGCCTGATATCTTTCAGCTCCAAATTTGTCAAATTCACTCTACTGCCAAGTTCCTTCTGCTCCTCTTCCTTCTCCCCCTCTACCCTCCATAAATTTACTCTCCTTTAATTTATTCATCCATTTCTATGTATTCACTTATTAATTCAATTATATGTATTTACTACTATATGGAATGCTTTCCTGAATCGGTTCAATCTGTCCTATTGCTAAAATACAGTCTGCAGCTCTCTTCAGCTCCCCCTCCATTTCTTCTCTCCCCCTCAACCCATCCACTCATTTGTTTATTTAATTTATTCAGTTTTATTTATTTGCTCACTAGTTTTTTTCCAATACATTGAACACCCTCTTGGTGCAATGTGCCATGCTTAGTTGTTGGGGATTACAAAGGTAGAATATTCTACCTCAAAGGGCATAGAAGTGAATTTTTTTTTTTAAAAAAAAACTACAATACAAGGAATAGAGTGGTCATTTGCAAAATAAAATTTTTATTGAATTGCTGAAGCAGTAAACTCTCAGCTGGGAGGGTCAGGGAAGGCTGAGGAGGGATGGCTGCAGATAGAAAGGTTATAAAAGTAATAGAGGGAGACAAATGTAAGCTGTATTTTGCATTCCTTGATTCCTATTTAAAGCAAAATATTAATTAATATTAATGTACTAGACCTTTAAATTCATAATTGGATATATATTTTTTTCTGCATGCTAGGGCAAAAAGGTCAATTCACAAGAATACAGACTTAAATTAGAAATGTATTAGGGGATGGTAGGCAGCAGGTCTTATGGCATATCCTCGTTAGAATCTCTTTAGCTCAATCACATTCAGCTTCAAAATCTGTGACTTTAGTGATAAACAGTAAGATCACACGATCAGACTCAAAAGCACTATAATACCTAAAAATCATTGTAAGAAATCTAATTTGTATTAATCATACCATTAGAAAAGTGGAGAAAGTTTCAGTATCTGTTATAAAGTTTTTTTAAAAACAAGAGTAGAATCAATATCCACAAAAGGATCTTCCTGCCTATCCCTGAGAAAATTGCCCTTATCTCTTGAAAAGTGGTTTCATGGAGAGAGATTATCGCAAGAAAGCTTGAGCCTGTCCCCAGCTTACCACTGCTGAGCACTGCTGTAAATTTATGGCTTGAGGTAGAGGTTTGGCAATACATTGGGGACAATATTCTTTTTCATCTTCTGAGGAGCCATTTGTTTCTTTGGAGGTATATCTGCTCCAGATTCATTCCATTTCAAAATTGAGATGCTCCATTCTCTCAGCCAAGATGAATGGGTTCATTTTACACTGTGATCACAATTTAGAGATGCTATTGAATGGGCTGCCAGTGTTTGCTTTGTAATGTTAGGGGCACTCTTTTTTCTAGTCTTAAGGCATAGGTTACAGCACATAACAGAAACCATGCAGGAAAGACAAAAAGAAGAAAGAGAGGGAGGGAAGGAAGGAAGGAAGAAAAAAGAAGGAAAGAAGGAAGGAAGGAAAAAAGGAAGGAAGGAAGGGAACGAGGGAGGTGGGTGGGCAAATAGCAACACCCAACAATCCTGTATCATCAATAGATAGTTGTGGCCTGAGGTATAAATTAACACTATTCTAAGAAAAATCAGGCAAGCAGTGAACTTTGATTCATACGTCTCAGCAGCAGGAAGCTGCCGGGAGCTGGTTATCAAGTGTGACTCATAGGAGAGACACAATACCAGAAGTAGCCTTCTCTGGCTAGTAGGATCAATCATGTCTTACTTTTTTCTGGAATCTTTCCCTTTTCAGTGAGGCTGTTTTCATCTACCCAGTTTGTCAGAGCAAACCCTAGGAATCAACACTGATTTCTCTCTTTACTTCTCCTACTACCAATTCACCTCCCAAACCAATCTCCAAGTCCTGTTGACTCCACCTCTAAAATACATCCCAAATTTTACAACTTTCATTTCTACTGTCTCCTAGTTTTAGCCTAAATCATTTTCATCTCTTTTCTTTAATAGCTTCCTAATAGATCTTGTTTCCATTATTTCACTTTTGGTCTAATATACCTACAGCAACCAGAGTGATTCTCAAAATTTAATTGAGATTATATAATCTCCTTACTTAAAACCTTCCAAGAGCTTCCAGTATGTGTTGAAGAGCTTTCAGGTTTGTACCATGTCATTAGGACTTCATGTGATCTGGACTCTGCCTACATCACCAGCTTTGCATGATTGGCTCCTTCCTAAATGCACCTTCTCAGAGAAGCCTTCTCTGATCATCTCATTTAGTATCTTTCTACCCAACCAACTGCTCAGGACAAGAGTAGAGAAGTCACCTCAAAGAGGCCTTCCTGGAACATTCTACAAAGTAGCCAGTCCTCAGTCCTCACTCCCTACCCCCAACTGCTTTTCATCGTATTACCCTGCCTTATTTTAGATAGGGTTGACAGAACTCAACCCTATCTAAAATTATCTCATGTTCCTTAATTTGTGTATTGTCTATCAGATTTTCTCACCCCAAAGTAGACTGTAAACCATGTAAGGCAGGACCCGTTCTGTCTTGTTTATCTTTTTATCCTCCACAATGAGGATCAGAATGAGCATCAGAATGTGACCACAGTGCCTGGTTGCCTTCTGATGCTCAATTAGCATTTGTGAAAGATGTGAATAGATAGTCTTGCAAAACCTTGGCAGAAGTGAGTAACAGTATTCTATTAATACCCTGGGAGGCTGAAGTAGAGGATGAGGCACGGAGAAAGAGGTGAGTAGTCCATCGTTGAACTTGTTATATGTGGCAGTCTCAATGGTATGTTTGCTTATTAAATCCTGATAAATATTGGTGGCATTTTTAGTAGGTTTTAACTAGAAGCAGGGGCTCCTGGAGGGTGCTCAGGCTGAATAGCTGGGTCACTTGTCTTTCTCACACCTCCCTGGGAGACTTCTCTGTAGAAGACTTCAAGAAAAATCCCTGCACCTTCCACACCTGTTGTAGGAGGTATGGCAGCTATTCCTGAGCCTTAAGTACTCCAGTAAGAATGAAATGAACTATTTGAGGTGTTCTGCCAAACGGGCTCTAAAAATAATTATGATTTAAAATGTTTTTTTTTTCCAGTGAATATGAACGCTTTAAAACTAAGTTTGTAAAAACAAAACAAAACAAACAAAACACCTCCTCAATCTCTGTTGGGTTAGACACCCAAAGAAAGCAACCAGAAGCTGAAATTTTGTGGACAGAACATAAAACGCCTTTTTCCTACTTCTCTGTCCTCCTCTTCTTCCTTCAGTCCTGTTCTTTTTCCTTATCATCCCTGCTTTTACTTGCCTGATCTGTTTTGTCTGGGGAGGATGCCTAATACAATGTGTGATGCTATGGGCTTAGTGAAATGCTTGTCACAGCTCAGCTAGCCTAGCCAAAGGGGCTGGTGGAAGCAAAGGTAAGTTTTCTTTTTTGACATATCTTTGGTTTCCTTCAAATCTAACACAGTCCATCATTTTGAGCATTTATTAACCATATCATTTAGATGTATAATTATAGGCATCTTTCACTACGCCTTTCTAAAGAGGGTAATTTTCATATATTTTATGCATTGTAGAAATTTTGGTTCATGTGAAACATAGTTTGAAGGGAAATCAAGTTACTGTTTCATTTACCTCTTTGAATAAATAGAAAGATGTTCAGGTAAAACCAAGTGATTATGATACAGATCTCACCCCCTCCCTCCCCAACCTCCACCCAAGCAAAAGTTTCCAATGGTTCCCCATACACTTTTGGAAACAGAGCTTTGTGGCATATGGAAGGAATTTCTACCCCCTGCGTATGAGCAAACCCATCTGGTTTAGTTGGTTTGGCCAGGTCTTAGAAATACATTGACAAACACGTGTATGTCAGGGGTAACTTGTAGTCTTGCTGCTTATATTGCTCCTGGGGGGAATAAGAAATTCATGTAATATGAACAGTCTAGTTTTTAAGAAAACTGAAATAAATTAAAAATAATTAAAATCCAAAGTTCACCTTATGAAGGTGTGTGCCTTTAATAATGCTCAAATATAGATTTTTAACATACACTCTGATTTTCTGTCTGCCAAAAGAGGGAAAAATCTGATAATAGCTGAGTGTCATCTTCCTCCAAGCAATCAGCAATGCATTATTTCCTAATATTGCTGTTTGATTTCATTATTGGTTCTGGCTTCTTAAAGAAATAAGGGTTCCATAGGGTTACTGTAGGATAGGTCAAGAAAAACAATCTAGTCAGTGTATTTCATCCATGATATCTTATTCCGTATTCCCCATTCAACAGAGAATTAGGCCATCTTCTGTGAAGCAAAGCCTTACCTCAAAGAGATGGTGCTAAATGAGTTTTCAATGAGGATAGCTTGTGTGAGCATTTGGGTGGTATTATTACCCAAGGGATTCATTAAAGGCTCTCTGTTCTACAATAGTAAACAATTAAACACTCTATTTTTACAAAGTTCTGCATCCCAGAAATCTTTTGCATCTTTATTCCAGGCATGAGTGTCATTACCTGGGAAATTCAACTGAGGAGTGTTAGGTAATTTATTAACATTCTCTACTTAGATCCAGCAGTGATAGTTTAAGCAGCCTCAAGAGAATCAAAGGATTTTTTTTTGTGATCAATATTTATTACTTAAACTATAAAAGAGGGAAAAATACATGTAATACATACAACTAATATGTACCCAGTTGCAGATCATAACTTTCCTAGTTATTAAAAATGCAGGAAAGTTAATGGTTTTGAGACGTTTCTTAAGTTCTCACTAGTTTCATTTTAAATTTCAGTGTTTTCTTCTTTTTGTCTGAACCATCCTTTACTTACGTGAATCACTCTTTACATTCATTGCTTCACTGATGCTACTTCACTGGGTTTTTGCTTGAATAGGCCAGAAAAAGTCATCCCTAGACTACATCATCAAGAACAGTTTTGTATATTTCAACCTTCAGCTTGTGTCTGCATCTTGCATTACTTATCAATTCACTTTTATGCCTGGGCTACTTATTAGGTTTGTTTCTCCTCTCTCTTTGCCTTGATTTCCCGCTGAGTGTAAACATCACTTTTCCTCTGTAGAATGAGTTGACCTTTTGACTTGATTAAGGATAAATGCCATTGACTCTCCACTTCTGGAGGCCAAGGGTTTTACAAAATCCCACTGGGACTTATTTATTTATTGTTTGAAAATGAATATCAAATACTATTCCATATCATTTTAATGAGATGGATGTGAATCTTTTTTTTTCTACTTTAAGAATAATAAGAATTGTTACTGTTGGAGGTATCAAATGTAACTAAATAGTAGGGCATGAGAAGCTTCAGTTTTTTGGGGGTTTTTTGAGATGGAGTCTCGCTCTGTCATCCAGGCTGGAGGGCAGTGGCGCAATCTCAGCTCACTGCAACCTCTGCCTCCCTGGTTCACTCCATTCTCCTGCCTCAGTCTCCCGAGTAGCTGGGACTACAGGCGCCTGCCACCATGCCCGGCTAGTTTTTTTGTATTTTTAGTAGAGACGGGGTTTCACTGTGTTAGCCAGGATAGTCTCGATCTCCTGACCTCGTGATCTGCCCGCCTCGGCCTCCCAAAGTTCTGGGATTACAGGCGTGAGCCACTGCACCTGGCCTGGTTTTTTTTTTTTTTTTTTTTTTTACATTTTTATTCATTGGCCATCACATTCCAAAGTTTTACAGTCAAATGGACAGTTAAATATTTGTGTTTGAATCTGACCACTGTGAATATCTCAAGGATACCATAAGAGCTGATGGACCTCCAAACGTTAGCATCACTGGACTGAGAGAAAGCTCGTTTTATATCTCTATAGGTACTGTCATACCAATGAAGCAATGTTCCCAAACTACTATGTTTGTGTTAGTCATTTTCCGCTTATCTTGTCCCCAATCATAAAAATTAAGCGATGTACAAAAATTGCCTAAAGAACAGATGCCACCTTATAGAAGATGTTTTAAATAGCCCGTACTTGTAGCAGTTCTGCCTTCATAGCTAATATTCTCCACGTCTTTCTTCACTTTTTTCTTTCTTATTGAAGCATTTGCATGTAGAATAAAGAGGATAAAAACATAAAAAAACAAAGACAGATTTGTTTTTTCTGAGAACATCTGTTCTTGTTATAAAGAATCCACATGATGTGGTCCATTTTCTTTCAATGCCCTCACTGTTGGCTGTTGTGATGGCAACTGTTACATCAATCTTAGACCTGAACTTAATAAGATAATGAAGAGTAGTATCTAATCAGTTGAAAATACAGGGAAATTCTGTTGTAATACATACATTTTATGTAATATTGAGACAAACATACAAAGCAAGATAAGCTGAGATGTAATCTAAAATGGTTTATTGTAGAATTACTTTATTCCTAAGATTCATTGCTCTCATGGCATCACTACCTAATTTTGAGTGCATTTGGTCCTTTAGGTTTCCTTACTAAATGTTCAAGATTCTTGTAAATTTGGGTTGCCCTTGAGCTTTGGGTGCATTCTGAAAATTATTAAATATAAGTCATTTGCTGTGTACATTGTAATTAAAAGAAAATTTTTCACTTTGAAACTCTGTTTATTTTTCAAGAGGAGAGTTCCTCCAAACTTGAACTACTACCATAGCTCTTATAACCAGCAGAAAATAGGAATACTAATTACTCAAAATTAAAAGGTGTAGTTTGAAATTACCTAGAGATTTATATTCCCCTGTATAAAATGTCTTCAGTCTTGGAGAGGAGGGAGGAGTGTAGCTAGTGACAGTTACATAATAAAGCTTTCAAAATTACTTAGATAAAATATATTGACTCTAATTGATGGTTACCATAGAAACAGACTTATATAGACATTGATTATTCAAGCACTCATTAAAGCTCCTACTATGTACTTGGCCCTGTGCTCAGTATATGTTGGAGCCAAGTATATGGTTTTCCAAACTATTTCACATATATCCATAGGGATATATTAGCCACTTATATGTTATATCATTTTATTTCCTAGTCATTTTCAGGAATGGGGCTTTCCACATATAGATTGACTAATCCAAAAATATTTAATCAGCGTCTTTCTTCATGAGCTCAGCTATCCTCCTACAAAGAGCAAACTTGGTCTGTCTTCTGCTTCTATGTAATCTTCTTTGTCTTTTAAATTTGCATTTCAGATCAATAACGATATACATCCTAAAAGAATGTGATATTTTCTTCCTTTATTAACTGGATCATTTTAATGCCTCTTTGTCTCTCTTGCCATCTTTTTCCCCTAAGTACAATTCCTGTTACCCCTGATTCTTTATAGGGTTCACTTGAACCTTAGCTTGAGCATCTGGAGCATGGATCTCTTGAGACAACTTGGTTTATTCCTCTATTTAGTGGCACTTTATATTAGTCATGCTTTTGTCCTGAAAAGTTTCAGTTTTGGAACTTTACATCATTTCAGTTTTTAGGTATTTGGATCCTTTTGGAGGATGATGAACAATGGGAAAATTCTGGGGGCCCTCACATTCCCTTCAGGAGCATTATTTATGATGGGGTTTAAAACTTGACAGTATTACTATTGTAATGCTTACTATTGTGATTTCTATGGTCGTGAATCCTAGTAGGACCCTGTGTTAATGGAAATGTCAAGTTAAGGCATATGTGTTGCAAAGTTCTTTTCTCGTCCTATTGGTGGATACTCTCTAAAAGCCAGACTGGTGTATCATGCCAAATGGCCAAATTATTCTATAGAAAAAATACTATGGTAAATTTCCTATATCTTAAAGGAATTCGTCTGGATTCTAAAACTTTGAGAGATTAATGACTGCTAACTACAGCTTCCTGTAAATGATTGCTTACTGCCATTGGCATTTGAAAACCTTATATCTAAGATAAAAGAAGGCACTATTTTTTTCATTACTGTACCATTATCCTTTATGTTTGAATTGAGACTTTTGCATTTGGGGACTCCTACAGAGAATCCACTGGATCAGTAAAATTCGAATGGACTTTGGGTGGAATATAATTCCTTGAATGCTGCTGGGTCATGTGCACCAGTGTGGTTTTGACAACCCTGATGCATGAGCACTACTTTCAGAATTGATTCTAACTTTGGCACTTACTACCATCCTTAGGCAAAGGACCAGAGACCTTGTATGCAGGGCAGAAGCTCAATGACAACGAGTGGCACACCGTTCGGGTGGTGCGGAGAGGAAAAAGCCTTAAGTTAACCGTGGATGATGATGTGGCTGAGGGTGAGTATGACTATGGTGAAATTCGTCTGTCTTTTCTCTCAGTCCTCTCAGTCACTGAGTGAGCAAACAGTGTTTTGCAAAACCTTTTATTTTGCATAGTAGAAGTCACAAATCATGTTTTCTGTTGACAAACTCAGGCAAGGCTAAGAAGGTCTTCCTCTGTATTTTACAATACCTTTTCATCAATGTGCGTTATGGAAATTACCTACTAACTATAACTACATATTTATGGGTCTCTCTCCTTAGGCGTAGAGTATGTGTCTGGAGAACAGATGTAGGGTTCTACAGATCCTTTTATTATTCAATCATTCAAAAATCACATGTCAATCATCCTCCCATATGCCAGTTCCTTCCATCAGTGAGTGAATCACTCTCTAGTAGAAGAGATGGGCAAACCAGAAATTCAGAACATTACAGGTAAAAGTAAGTACTAAAACAGTGCATGATACTTAGAAGGTGCTGAATAAGGTTTGGTTTAATTAATTACTTATTTAATCATTATTAATTATCTATTCTGCACTACACACCATTTTACAAGGCACTGATAATACAGTGGTGAACAAACAAGCAAATCTTTGGCCTGGTGGGATTTACATTTAGAATGTGGAAAGAAACATTCAGAGCTCCACACAATCAATAAGTATTTCCTAAGAGTCTGTTCTATGTCAGCAGTATGCTAGAATTGCAGAAGATAAAATGGAAACAGATGAGATTACCTGTTTCCTCAAATAATGAACCAATTAAGCAGATCAGATAGGACTCTGGTATTTGAAAACAGGACCAAAATATATAATGAGATTCTAATTTTGATGGGTGAGATTACAATTTGTCAATCAGAAGAGAGAATTACCCATTTGGGCTGGAGAAATCAGGAGTGGTTTATAAACGTAGATCTTCAGACTGAATTTGATGGTGGATGTAATTTATGAAGGCTGAGGTACAAGAAAGAGGGTATCATCAAGTGCCATTTTACATGCTATATCTTTTTTTTCTTTCTTTCTTTTTTTTTTTTTTAAGACAGTCTTGCTCTGTCGCCCAGGCTGGAGTGCAGTGGCGCGATCTTGGCTCACTGCAAGCTCTGCCTCCCGGGTTCACGCCATTCTCCTGCCTCAGCCTCCCGAGTAGCTGGGACTACAGGTGCCTGCCACCACGCCTGGCTAATTTTTTGTATTTTTAGTAGAGATGGCGTTTCACCGTGTTAGCCAGGATGGTCTCCATCTCCTGACCTCCTGATCCACCCGCCTCGGCCTCCCAAAGTGCTGGGATTACAGGCGTGAGCCATCGCGCCAGGCCTTACATGCTATATCTTATAAGTCTTCCCTCTCTGATATTCTAGAGCAGGACACATCTATGAAGCAGAATTCTTATCCATATGGGAAAGAAGATTTGGGGCAGCATGGGGTATTACATGAAACACTGTTGCCATCAGATCTGGGCCCTGACGTTAACTTGCAGGACGTTAGGAAAGTTAACATTCCTGGGCCTTGTCAAATGCAGTCAGTGGCCTAAGCCATCTCCATGGTTTCTTCTGTGAATAAGACAGTCAGTAGCCCTGGGGGTCTAATATAATCATTGCCACTAAAATATTTTATGCCTTTGAGATAGATATACTAAACCTCTTTTTCCTAATTTCCTCATTTTTAAAATTGATATTCTATTATTTCTATGGCCTTTCCAGCATGAATATTCTGTAATTTGGGGTCTTATAATTTAATTTTATATTCATGAGCCTGAGTTTCTATACTTCTGGAATCAGGAAATATAGTAAGATATGTACGTGCATGTACAGGTGTGTGTGTGTAGAGAAGGATAGCCTGTGGATTAAGGAAGAGCGTCTAGGCACATATCCAGTGCCCAGTAGGCATTAGAAACTGTTAGCTGTGTTAAGCATATCAGCTCCTTTAATCTTCTATCATTCACTATAGCCTTTAAAGGTAAGTGTTCTTAATGCCATTTAAAGGAAGCATAAAACTTTGAGAGCGTTGTATAATTAAGCTCCAAATCCATGTCAGTGTGATTCCACAAAATCATTCTGCTTGCTGTACTTCAAAATCCATCATAAGAAAATAATTTATCTTACAATATGGGAAAAATATAATGGAATGGGTTGGAGTGAGGTAGGGAATGCATTAGCTTATTAAAGTCTCCTAAGAAACTTACAGGAGGTAGGCCACAACACTTGACCTCTCCCTCACAAAAACAAAGACAAACAGAACCACCACAACAATTACCCAAAACACTTCGATTACACATAGACATAACTCAGAAGCGGGAGGTGAAGTTCCTGGTCTACGTGCCTGGAGCATAAATTTGCATTCTGAAATGAACATTTTAAAAGAGATGTACAAATGGTTACACTATTTAGCGCCCGCAGCCAACCTGAATTAATTATTCAAGAACTGTATGAACTGTTGGTGCATCTGGATCCTGCAAAGGATAAGTCACACATCTGTTGCTCACTCCTCTGGGCTTGTCTCTGAAGGGTGATGGGATTCACAGCCGCTTCTGAAAAGCAGCCACTAGATGGCGACCTCACCCTGATCTCTCCTGACAGTGAGTTCGTTTCATTTTCCCTGGAAAATAAATGCTCCAAAAGTATAGTCATAAAGAACTACAGAGCTGAGGGTACTATAATGTGTCTCTCTCAGTCATTATTCTTTTATGAAAACTTTGGAATAAAGCTATTTGTAAATTGCACTTTCTTTTACCACTAATAATTAAAAAGCAGGGCCAAGTCACGAAATGCCATTATCCAGTAATTTGATTTTTTGAAATTAATGAAACGCTTTCATTTTCAGACGTGTCCCCCCAACCCCCCGAACTTCACTGCTGATGGAAGAAAGCAGCCAGAAGGATAAAGAAATTTGAGAGGGGAAAAGTGCTGTTTTGCTTATGAGTTACAATCTTGGGTTGCTTTTTATAGTGATAAGGGGTTGGGAAATTTTAATTTTAGTTCACAGAAGTCATAAAATCAGGCAATGAAACTAAAATACCCACAGTCCTCAAGTTATTAAGTAGTATCTCATTGGCTTATTTAGTAATCCCTTTAATGTTCTTTAAGGCCCCCCTAGTGTGTCCAATTTCAGCTAGTTTATAGAAATGATGTAAAGAATAGGTCTGGCTCACAAGAAATCAAAAGCAAGGATAGAAATATTCCTCAACCTTGTGTTTATCATTTATTGTAATGTGATTGTGTTCTTGGAAAAGCATTAAGTTCGGGTGACAGTTAATAATAATTGATTGATCTATGTTTCTATTATTAAGAATACATTACTATACCAAGCATAACTTGAGTTATACTCCTCAGAATTGGGGCCTAATGCTGCATGAACTGCCTCCTCTGCCTAGAACTTCTTGCTAGTACAAAAACTTGCCCTTGCTAGTAGAAAAATTTGACTACACTGGTTCTTGTTGACTTTTCCTGTCCTTACCTACATAGCATGTATAGCACCAAGCTGTAAAAAGTCATTTTGCAAAATTTTCCATTTAAAATGTATTTCTCATAGTAATTTTTAAAAACTTGACAAAATAGGATTGAGGAGTGTGCGGTCAAACAAAATGAAATGGAGTTCTTTATTGCCAGGCTTATTAGGAGACTTTAATAAGCTAATGTACATTGCAAATCATTGATAAGTATGCAGTATTTGCTAATTTTTTTTTTTTTTTTTTGGTTCCAGAAACTTTTTTTACTGAAGTATTTTATACCACATACTTACACACTTTTAAAAAATGCTGACATTATGGAGAAAAGGATTTGGGACCAGTAGAGCTAGGGAATTATGGGCAAAATATGAAGATTCTTGACTGGTACTCTGTAAGCCTTCGTTTTCTTAACTTCTCTCCCCACGTCTAAGGGCCATGAAAGGTCAATTTGCTTCCTCTCAGCGTTTCCCATTATTATTCTTTTTTGCTGAGCTCTTAGTTTTGACCAGGAACCTCATGTGTGGAAATGGTGAGGACCCAAACCTTGACCCCAAAGCAAATGTCTCAAATACAAGCCCCTCCCCCCAGAAGTTAGGAATGCTGGCTGTGCTCAGACCCCTCTGGTAGCCACTGGGGGACATATAGAAGACACAAGAGGTGGCCTCTACTTAAAAAGAGCCCACATTCTCACACAAAAAAAGAGAAAAACAGTAAGTGAAATGACCACAACATGATTCAATCATTTCGGAGGAAGGGAGAGAAATGAATGCAGCATAATTAGTAATAGCGCACGGTTTAAGCCATAGGCACTCTATTAAAAACTTTACGTGTGTTGATACGTTTAACCCTGCTAACTTCATATCCGTTTTACAGATGGGGATCTGAGGCATAGAAAAATTCAGTAACTCCCCCAAGGTAACCCAGTGAAGAAGTCTTGGAAGCAGAATGCAAAGTCAGGCAGTACAGCCCTGGACTCTCCATGCTCATCCACTATATGCTATTGCTTCATAGGAATAGGAAGCTACAGCTTGAACCTGGCCAGAATTTTCCATAACTATATGTCCTTCGTCACTCTAAGAGCTGGTTTGTAGACTGCTTGTTGGCCATCAGTGCAATATGGAAGTGAATGTGTGACAAGGAGGCAAGGCAACAATGCTGCTTTAGGGAGGGTGCTGGATATATTACCCATGAATTAGATGGAGTGACATTCTGATACTGGGCCATAGGGAAGAAGTACAAACTCCTTAGAACAGCTTCTACATGGAAATTTCACCAGTTAAATTCTACCTACTGCTTTTCTTGGGCAATGATGTGAGGAATAAGTAAAACCTTTTTTCCAAAGACAGTTCATTGTACTAGTAAAGATATGGGCTTTGGAATTAGCACACCTGAGTTCAATGTAGGGGTCTACCATTTACCACCTGCATGAATCTTGATCAAACTGCTTAACCTCTGCAAGCTAAATGTCCTAACCTCTAAAGCAAGAGAAAGATACTTCTCTACAATTTTATTGTGATAATGACATTTCATAGTGATTATGCAGTATTTAGCACAGTGCTTGCCTTATATGGAATTTTCAGTAGTCTTGGTTTTGGCTTGTTATCTTTCTCCCCAGTTACTTCTCTTTCCCCTGAAGTTTGAAAGAAGCGGCTGTGAGGTATGAATATATTTGCCCCTTAAGTAGAAAGGAGGTTCAGTTTGCAGACAGCATTCAGAGGAGATGAGTGAAAGGTTTCCATCACTACTATTGATTAAATGACACATAGATTAAAAAAAAAATATTTGGTTGGTTTGGCACAGGTTTCAAACTTTCAGCATCTCTCATGCTTTGCACAGGTGCAATAATATACTTATTTTTTGAAGTCTTCATCAACAAAGGAGTAAATTCGTTTAGCACACAGTGAAGCCAATTCTTTTTCTTTCCTTTTTCTTTCTTTCTTTTTTTTTGAGACGGACTCTTGCTTTGTCACCCAGGCTGGAGTGCGGTGGCATGATGTCGACTCACTGCAGCCTCTGCCTCCTGGGTTCAAGCAGTTCTTCTGCCTCAGCCTCCCAAGTAGCTGGGACTACAGGCGTGTGCCACCACGCCAGGCTAATTTTTGTATTTTTAGTAAAGACGGGTTTTCACCATGTTAGCCAGGATGGTCTCGATCTCCTGACCTCGTGATCCACCCACCTCGACCTCCCAAGCCAATTCCTTTTCTAATTTGATCTCACATGGCCTTCTCCCCCTCCCCTCACCAACTTTTAGTTGAGGCTCCTGTGTGAGTCATCCTGAACTCCCAGTTTGTGTTCCTGGGCTAAGCTCCTAAATCCACTATTAACTTCACTTCTTGTACTTATCCACATCCACGCTCAGTCTCTCTGCTATCTCAATAAACACTTTTTTTTTTGCTATGAAAAATTAATTTTCTAGTGAGCAGAATATCCCAACCCCTCAATCCTGGAGATCAATTCATCCAGAATTTCTCTGAAAGTTCTCAACTTGACTTTAAAATTGTTTCTTCAGATTCCTTTTGGAACCTCAATCTTCACCAGAGATTCCCCATTCTGACTTCTTAGTTCTCATCTTAGATTTTTTCTTTGTAAAATAAGAATTAGCATGACTAGCAGCATCATCATAGTTCAGTTTCTCTGTTTCTGTGGATATTGACTATGACTCCCCCTCCCCATCATTTTCCAGCCCAGCTCCCCTTCCTGGTAGGAGTAGCTATAGCCAATTTGACAGTAGATGTTTCTTTCAGTCACTTTATTAATTTAGAGCATGCAAATTTAGATTATGTTGCTTTGTATTTTCACAGCCTGTCTGATTTTTAACACTAAGCAATTTTATTTCCTAGTTATTTGTTAGCAGATTTATGTTGCATTTTGATTTTTATATTTAAGTTAACCAACATCTTTTTTTCTTATACTAAGAGAGTGATTTGTCACTAGTTGTCAAAACACTGCATAGAAGCTCATAACATGTAAATCTAATTTTTGTGCTTATAGGGAATATAAGAAATTTTATTTTTATTTTTTTAGAGACAGCATCTCGCTGTGTTACCTAGGCTGGAGTGCAGCCTCAAACTCCTGGGCTCCAGTGATCCTCCTACCTTAGCCTCCTGAATAGTTAGCACTATAGGTACATACCTCTATGCCTGGCTAATATTTTTTTTTTAATTTGTAGAGACTGGGTCTTGCTATATTGCCCAGGCTGGTCTTGAACTCCTAGCCTCAAGTAATCTTTCTGTCTCGGCCTCCCAAAGTGCTGGGATTACAGGCATGAGCCACTGTCTCCAGCCAATTCTTTAAATTAGGTCTGAGTTTTTTCCCAAAGAGATAAAACCAATATTGAGCACTTAAGGGTATGATCTGGTTTAGTCTCCCAGATACTGAAGTTTAAGAGACCTAAGAAAATACAATCCTCCCTTTTTTTGTCACTGTAATTCTGAGCCAATAGAGAAAATATTGCAATGAGGATGGAAGGCAAATATCATTTTAATTAGTAATAACACACAATAATATTGCTTACACCCACTGAACTTCAGAATTAGACAGAACTGCCCACTTGAATAGTAGTTCAGAACTGGGCAGACATCCTTTGTGGAAGCAAGGCTTGCTCCTGTAACACCCATTCTATGGATGCATGCAGTAGAATGGACATTTCTGAAGGCAGCTTGCTCCAGCAAAGAGAAACAGGAGGTGTTAGGGGCTGAGCTAAGCATACACAGCTTCTCTTTGCAGATCATCCTTAATATTTCTGATTATGTCACTTCTTCAGGAAAGTTGTTAAAGAGGAAATAAAGAGATGCTATCAGTCTTGCTAATGGAGTTTTTTCAATGTAGAAGGTAACAAGAGAGGACAGGAAGAAAGAATTCCCCCTCTAATGCTTGGCAGTAGAACATGGTTTGTTATGTTTTAACATGATTTTTCTATATAAATGTTGAGGAAGCCAATTTCTACTCTGGCCACATTAATGATGTTTTTCTTTATTTTGTTATTAAAATTTCCAGTCTCTTTGTATTTTTTTTTCAAGCCCTCCTTATCCCCTCTGCCCTAGTCACTCACCACTTCTAGGTAAAATAGGTAATACAAGTTCTAAATAGTTCATTTGTAACAGCTGAAGATATTTCCGTTGTGAATGTCAGAAACCCAACTCAAACGCTTTAAGCATGAAAGGGAGTCTATTGCCACACAGTTTGAAAAAGCCGGGAGGTGCCTGGCTTGATCCAGAGTCTCAAAGGACAGCACAGATGATTCTCTTCATTTGGTAATTGTCTTCTGGGTTGCTAGTCCTCTGATCCCTCTGATTTTCTTATAGCCTCTAGGGACTCAAAGCTTTCTTCTTACCCCTCCAGCAGTCCTTGCTTGCAAAGAATCCTCTTTCCTAAGTGTACCAGCAAGAGCTCTGGAACTGAGTGTGGCCGGGATGGCTTGGGTTGTTGCCAGTTCTAAGGGTGGTCCCTAAATCAGCCACAAGAGCATCACTGTGAAACTTGTTAGAAATGCAGATTCTCAGGCCTCACCCCAGACTTTTGAATTCTAAACTCTGAGGGCCTAAGCCCCCCAGGTGATTCTGATACACCCTAAAGTGTAATGACCGCTTTTTAAGTCTGTAGTCCAAAGTCTGTGACAGTTAGGGGGGTAAAGTACATTGAGTGGTCTAGGCTGAGTAGCTTGATTAGGGTCAACTTTATCCAGTCCAGGTGGTTGAAAGGTCAAGAGGGGTGGGTAGCTTCCTAAAGAAAAATTACGTGTTATTATAAGATAAAGTAACAGTTGCTGGGCAGGTAAACTCAACTGATAAGTCTATAATAGAATCCTTCCCACGAGTACTAAGTGGAGAGTTATTACGAGAAAAAATACTTGGTAGTGATGCCCAAGACTTGTGTGTTGTGTCTTTACAAGGGTCAGAGCAACAAAGGCCTTTCTTCTTATAGTGTGTATTAGTGTCCAGTGATTCTCCTGAATGGAGAATATCAATAGTTTTATCCTTTAGCCTGGGTTACTCATGACCTCATATTTCCCCTTATATGATGAGCCGTGCTGAGCAGCTGCGTGACAGCATGTAATTTGGGCAATGCCTGATTGAGGCCAAGTAAGGTATCTACCATATTGAATATTTGGTTTTCTTGAACTCACCCAAGAAAGCTGAATATTCTGTGTGGAAACAGGTTACACCCAAAAAATATACTTGAGGGTGCTGTGATAAATGATGGTAACTTTTCTGTTTGTACCTCATTTACAATTTTCACAGGTACAATGGTGGGAGACCATACCCGTTTGGAGTTCCACAACATTGAAACGGGAATCATGACTGAGAAACGCTACATCTCCGTTGTCCCCTCCAGCTTTATTGGCCATCTGCAGAGCCTCATGTTTAATGGCCTTCTCTACATTGACTTGTGCAAAAATGGTGACATTGATTATTGTGAGCTGAAGGCTCGTTTTGGACTGAGGAACATCATCGCTGACCCTGTCACCTTTAAGACCAAGAGCAGCTACCTGAGCCTTGCCACTCTTCAGGCTTACACCTCCATGCACCTCTTCTTCCAGTTCAAGACCACCTCACCAGATGGCTTCATTCTCTTCAATAGTGGTGATGGCAATGACTTCATTGCAGTCGAGCTTGTCAAGGGGTAAGTAGAAGGGATCACGACTTATGTTGGACACCTTTAATCTACTGAAGCTCTACGTAAAATATGGACATAAAAATAACTTGTCTATTCTACTCCCTACCCTCCATTCCTGACACATTCTCGCATCTTCCTTGATTAAATGGATCCATAAAATTATTAGGTCTGGAAAGGAGAGAGGCTCATGATTTAATTTAAAGGTCTTCCACTAACTCAACACTAACAGACTTTTTCCTATGAAATGTAGCCCTTTAAAACTATTGAAGAAAAGCTTATTTTTGCAAAAGAGGGCTATGATTTGTATTGCATCTAATTCTTGAGTATTACTAACTACAACCACCCAATTTATACCAAAAGATGAAACATAAATATTTTAAATCCTACCATTAGCCCATATATGCAAGTTTTTAGAAGCTGCCCTTTCCTCAAGACATTTTACTACCATGTATTAGAAAATAGTCAAAACAAAAAACCAAAACAAAAACCAAAACAGATTAATGGTTGATGATGAATTTAAAAGTCACCCCCTTATGTTTTGTAGTGTACAACCTGTGCTACTTTGACTCTGGAGAGTATTAGTAGGTAGTGTTAATGAAGTGGACTCGATGAGTATGGAATTATAGTGAAGCATGATAGAATAAAATCTGACTATTCTTGTAACCTCATATCAAGATTTAAATTATTCCTGCATTATGCCAGTTTAGCATGGGGGATTTGAAGCCCACTATGTCAGTTACACACATATAGCCATTAAACCACTTCGGGGATTTTCCAATTATTGTTTTTTTTTTTTTTTCTTCCTAGGTATATACACTACGTTTTTGACCTCGGAAACGGTCCCAATGTGATCAAAGGCAACAGTGACCGCCCCCTGAATGACAACCAGTGGCACAATGTCGTCATCACTCGGGACAATAGTAACACTCATAGCCTGAAAGTGGACACCAAAGTGGTCACTCAGGTTATCAATGGTGCCAAAAATCTGGATTTGAAAGGTAAACCTTGTAAAGAAATTTAGTTTTTAATAGAGCTTTTCTTACAATAGATAGACTATTTCCAGAGGCAAACCACAGGTTCAGAGTGCCATGCATTTTTGATACATCATCCATATCCTGTTTTAACAATGTTGAATTATCCTGTAATGCAATTTTTTCCGTTTTTACTTAGACTACTCATCAAGAAATGGTTCATTTTCTCTGATAACCTCGGGAATGTCATGCTGTGGGGGCTGAGAGATGACAGGATGAGTGTCAAAGTGTGGGAAGGGCCGTAATACAGAGGAAGGAATATAGGCTTTGGAATTTCAGCTGAATCATTTAATGTCTGGTGTCATCAGTAAACTGTCTTAGCCTTGTTCAGCTTACATTTACTTTTCTTTGCAAAATGAGGATAATAATTGTTAGTTTCTGTATAGGTCGTGAGAAGTTTTGATGGCATGTCTGTATATCCCTCAGCATATTATTGGTAACAAGCACATAAAAAGCACTCAATAAATGCTTGCTTTGTTGACAATATTGTTAATCTTTACTCCATCTATGATGAATAAATTTTTGAGATGGTATATATAAAATGAATGACACATAATAAATATTGGTTTCCTTTTTTTGCAGGGTAGAAACTCAGGTGCTTATCTCATTTATGCTGTCCCCCCCCCCCCCCCCCAGCTATCTTATTCCTTATCTGATGAATTATCTCAAGTGTATCAAACTAGTTGACATGGTCACCACATCCTTTACTCATTCTCTTTTGCTAATTACTTTCCTTTCCAGGTGATCTCTATATGGCTGGTCTGGCCCAAGGCATGTACAGCAACCTCCCAAAGCTCGTGGCCTCTCGAGATGGCTTTCAGGGCTGTCTAGCATCAGTGGACTTGAATGGACGCCTGCCAGACCTCATCAATGATGCTCTTCATCGGAGCGGACAGATCGAGCGTGGCTGTGAAGGTACAACCTATTTTTTTCTTGTTAAGCTACAGCCTTGTTGCAAGCACCAAGCCTCTTTGCTGCCTCTGCCACTGCCTCCTTCCTCAGTTGACCAGTCCTGTCTCATTCTCATTTGCCACGTGACATTGCATCACCATCAGTGTTCTCTTGTCACTGGTTTAGTATGTCAAGACATGTGCCACAGGCTCCAGGAATGTATGTTGGCAGATGTTTTCTGAGTATCACATACTTGCCAATAAAAATAAAATAAAATAAAAAACTTCCCTGGCATTGACATCAGGCTTCTTTCAATGTGTACCTTGGCTTCCAGAATGGCTGAAACAGCACTGGAGACTTTTATTTATACTTTAATACATGATGAGGGGAAAACCAGAGATTTTATGTAGATGTCACTAATTAATAAAATGTTTCTTATTTTGGCTGATAGTGACTGCATTATTTAATGCAAATCTAGCAGGCAATAGGAAAACGATGTCCAAATGCCATGATGATGGAAGGGAACTAACATTTACTAAGTACTTACTAATTATCAGGCATTGCTAGGCAGTTCTTTAGTGTGGTATATTGGAACATTATGGGCTTTGATATTAGAAATACCTGGATTCAGCTCCAGGTAGTAGCTCTTGTTAGCTATGTGACATTTGGAAGGTGATGTAACTTCTGTAAGCTATATCTTTCTTACCTATAAAACAGGGCAATAAAACTTACCTTGAATGTAAGGAGATCAGAAATACACATAAAATGCCTGGTATGTAGTAGGTACTCGATAAATGGTAGGCTTATTGTTTACAAATATTATTTTATGTCAAACATCTAATAATACTGCATGTCTACCCATGCAGCACAACAAACCATGCTCAGCCTGTTCCTGTAGATGATCCACTGTCTCTTGAGATACTAAATGAATTTTACAGGTCTTCCTGAATCCAACAATTCTTTGCAGTGTAAACAATCTAGTTTTAACCAGCAGATGGCAGAAGTGAACACATTCAGCCTTCCCTAGTAGTCTTGGGTTGGCTGAAAACGTGACTGTTACCTAACTTGAAAGGCAAAGAAGTTGCCTGACCAAGGATCTATGTAATTATTTCCTTTTTTTCTTTTTGAGCCTTTTGGTTGAGCCTTATGGTCCTGTGTTTGCGCAATATATTGTGTTTCCTTGTATCAGTTGTTAATTTACCACATCAAATCTGTTCATTCCACTTCTGTGTTCAACTTCATGTATCGCTTCTGTTCTTAAACAGCTTCCATCTGGGTTAGCTCATCATCGTAAAGCACACATTTATAAAAGCTTCCTGTCAGCTTATCAGGCTGACTTGGAGTTATGGAAATTGTTTCCCTTTGCCTAAGAGTTATTTTTGTATTTTGCACTAGTAATAGGAATGTTCATTCCTATAACCCACTCCATTTTTCCTTTATCCAGAAATATTTCTTAAATTGTCTTGGCCAAATATGGTGTTTGTACTATGTAGTGTGTGTGTGTGTGTGTGTGTGTGTGTGTGTGTGTGTGTGTATAAAGGGACAGGAGGTTGGGAATCACTAAGCCCTTAAAGCAGCCACTTTGCTCCTAGAAATGAACAATTTCATTCAATCAGGGATTTTTGTCTCCTTGGCTTGCTTTTAGTTCTTTTGTGTATTAAAGGGCAATCCTGGAATAGACGTAGCATTTGGAATTAAATTGTATATAGTGTTTAGAAGATTGTAGAATGGCAGTAATTCCATTTATCCTGGAATAATTAATCATATGAAGTCAAATCACAATATAAGAGCACATATTAGAAAGCGTAAGATACTGGTCAAATGTTACAGAATTTTTATTATGCCATCAGTTCTTCAGATTTAAAAGTTAACAGGAATCATCCATTAACTCTATGTCAGTGTTTTCCAATAGATATATGTAACACATGCAATTATAAATTTCCTAGTAGCTACATTTTAAAAAGGTATAAAGTAACAGGTCAAATTTATTTTAATTTTGTATTTTATTCAATTTAACTAAATATACCCAAAATATTATTTCAGAATGTAATAGAGATAAAATTATCAATATTTTGCACTTTTTTTCACATTAAGCCTCTAAACTTGAGTTTGTATTTTATACTTGCAGCACACCTCAACCCAGGGGCTACATGCATTTAAAGTGCTCAATACACATGTCAATGGCTACTGTATTGGTAGTACAGGTATACAGAATACAAAAATTAAGGTGTAAATAAATAAAGCTATAGTATTGGATTAAAAGGAGGTCTAAGCTTTATAAAAGGGTACTAAAATGTATAATATAAAGGGAGAATGACCTCACTTAAGAGAGTTTTAAGAGAAGCAGTAAGAGCATCAGCAAAAAGAAATTACATAACGAGTTGGGGAAAATGTCCCTATCCCTATCTACAGCTCTATGTGCAGTTTGGCATTACTCATCACATGCATTACAGAGAGCTCCGACCTTCCTCTGAGTATGGTTGATTGTTCAAAGCCGGATATTGTGGCTTGATGGCTCCACCATCTGAATCTATGGTGAGTCCCATGAGCCTAATAGCACTGCACTCTATTGCCATGGAGATAATTACAACGGTTACCCACTGAGCATTATGCCTACCCCGCTGGGTGGGATGAAGTGGAGGGTGAGTGCTGAGGGAAGAAAGTCCTTGTTGATTGTACACAAATGACTTGGATAATTAGCCTAAGTGGCCAGGAAAAATGGCCCAAAATGGGTTAAGGCATAAATTACTGTCATTGGAAGTTTGTACCACTGTGAATAAGCCCTTGCAAGAGATCCCAGGAGCATTTTAGGGTTCTGTGTAAGATGGTGGGGAGGTAAAGGGAGAGCACAAAACACTGGAGACACTGCAAAAAGGCATCATTTTTATTCTGAATCTCTTGTGTAGAGCATGAGACCCCCAAGAAGGCCTTTGAGCATTAGGTAGTATGAGGACCACAGGAAACAGAACAAATTTCTTAATTTATCATTTCTTTTACATAGAACAGTAAACAAGTAGGGGATGAGGTTTTATAACTAAGAACTAAGACCAGAATCTCTTCAAGATATGTTTTATTCTAGCAAATCTAGAATACACAGATAAACATATATATATATATATACACACACACACACAGATAGATAAGTATCTGTATCTATCTACATTTAATATATGTTTCCATCAAAGTCATTGACAATGACACTTTAAGATCCCTAGGTAGTAAATGTGTTACCTTCCCTATTATATCAGACCCATGACAGCAGGTAAAATAAAAGGCAAAAGAGTCCAAAATTATTTTTATTTATTTTATTGATTGAGTGAGTGAGTGAGTGAGACGGAGTTTCGCTCTTGTTGCCCAGGCTGGAGTGCAGTGGCGTGATCTCGGCTCACTGCAACCTCCACCTCCCAGCTTCAAGCGAATCTGCTGCCTCAGCCTCCCAAGTAGCTGGGATTACAGGTGCCCACCACCATACCTGGCTAATTTTTGTGTTTTTAGTAGAGATGGGGTTTTACCATGTTGGCCAGGCTGGTCTCGACCTCTTGATCTCAGGTGATCCACCCACCTCGGCCTCCCAAAGTGGTAGCAAAATTATTTAAAAACTTGCTAATTTAGTACTCTTCAGCTCTCAAGTATGAGTAGCAAAAAAGAAAAAAATCTTGAAACTAGTATTTGATTTTATGTCTCTGATAGATGCAAAGTGTATAATTTAGATATTAAGTGCAATTTCTGGGCAACTCCTAGTCAACATTTAGTTGTAACTTGATACCTCTCAATTTAAGCTAGGGTTTTAAAAAAAATCATACCTGATTTAATATGTGGCTGGTAAATGTATCTTCCTATATTGAGGCCAGCTTTGCTGCAGAGGCCAAGGCATGATCAGCTAGAAATGTGGTTTCACAATTGCAGATGATAAACATCTGAAAGAAATACACGTGCTTTGTTTTGAAACTGGCACGAATAAATAAAAATGACATTAGTCTGGTGCCCTTTTGCCTGCAACTATTTGGGTTTGGATATATTTTTAAAATTAAACAAATTGAGCTTTTTGGTGTTCCCAAATCACCGTGATCCAAATGTCTAATTCCAGTGCCAAATTCCTGGGTGGCATTTGCAAGAGGGCACAAGGGGTGCACTCGAGTGACTCTTTCATGCTGAACTCCTAATGTTTAGAAGTATTTCTATGGGCTCCATCTGATTGCACACACGTGTCTTTCAGTCTGACCGTGCACTCCCTGAGGTTGGCTGTGTGGATGTGAGAAAGCTCTTGTTGCCCTTGTTGCCCGTTGCCTGTGCTTTGTCAAGTCTGATGCGCCCCTGCCCTGCTCTGCTGACTTGGCTCTGAGGAGGCCGGCTCTGTCCCTGGTCTGCGCGTCCCCCTCTGCCCTACTCCCCAACCCCATCTTTGCTGTCTCTGGTGAACCTGTAGAGCATTTCAATTGTCTGTCTGAGTGATGGTTATGCAGATTGCGTTTTCATTTCTGTAATGTTATCCTGGTTTATTCTACCTCTTACTAACCTCTGGTTATTGTTTTCGCTTTTTCTGTTCTTTTGCTAACAAAGTTGCGTTGACCAAAGCTGACCTGCAAGGTAGAGAAGGTTCTTGTTCCCATTACCACTTTGGACTGAAAGATGCCCTGTGTAACCCTTGGTATCTTTTCTTTAGAGATCTTCAAGCTGTCACACCTCTTGGACAGCAGCAATTGTGGGGAGGTGGCTGAACCCTGTGTTCTTCTGAAAGGGTGACAGATAACCCAGATCAATGCATGAAAAATAGCTATCAAGAGGAGACCTCATGGGGGAAGAAACATGATTCCATTTTGGGGGGTACCAAAGAGGTTTGACAGCATCCCATACCGTGACTATACATAAACATATTAATTTACTCTGGAAATGATAAATACCTCTCCAAGTAGTTGCCATGGAGGGGTTGGCTCCTCTTAATTTATTCACCATACATAGAAAAAAGAACTTGGAAGGAAAAAAAAGGCCAAGGCCAGCCCTTATGCCTTAAGTTATTATTTTCTGGATCAGGGAGGTCATTTCCTGGAGCAGGACATTTAAGTACTTGGGCTTTATGAAAGAGAATGTCATTTTCTCTTAACTAGTTTTAAAGTTTTAAATATTTCTGGGCATTTGGGAGACACTAATGTCATTAAAATGTTTCAGAGATTTATATTTTCTATTGGGGATTTTGGTTGAGCACTTTAATTTCCTGTTTTGTGATCGCAGGAAAAAAGTACTCTTGAGGAAGAAGATGATCTGTCATTTTAATCCTGAATACCCTATAAAATACCACATGTGAGATGTTAGTGAATATCTATTGCAGAAACTACTTCATCCACTATTCAAAGAGGCATCTTACAAAGTCAGTAATGGCCCACTGATCCTATGGTGCCATGCTGCTATGTCTCAGAATAACAAGGGAGGAACAAGCATTTTAGGTGTCTTTTGGCTGATTGTCAAGCAGGAGACTGAGCCTCATGACCTCTGCTGAGTTTGCAGTCAGTCCAAATTGTTAGAAGTAGTTAAGGCAAAGGTAACGTTCAAAAAATTACTTTTCATCTAAAAAGATCATTGACTTTGCTGTGACTTTCTTGTTATATGCCATGTAGCTAACCAGTACAAGCGCCTATCTATCCAGAATACATCCACCAATGAAGACTCTGTCACTATTTTACCATAACTTTGTTTTTCTTTATCGCCTCTTAGCAGATTCACATATATTTTAATATATATTTAAATTAAATAAAAGAATATACACTAGTTAGGACTTAAAGTCAGAGGAAGCTTTACAATAGCTTTCAGTTTCAAAGTATAGAGGGCCCTTGTGGCAATACTGTTGTTTTAGACATTATGTTTAATTGTCAAGAAAGATCCACTATGTATTTCTCTGTAAATGGAAGAGAGAGAGAAGGGGGCAGGACTCAATCTGAATGCAAGACAATCCAAGGAGATTGAAGCTCCTTAGGACTGGATTTAGCGGATTAAACTAGACAACTACATCTCTTCCCTGACTTTACTATCACGCAGGGTAAGAACTATATGGATTTTGAATTCCCAGAGCTTAGCATATTCTCTCACCTAGAAAATCTGGACATGGCAAAATAATCTGAAAGTTCTCATCCAAAGGAATAATGGTTTGTAGGGAGAAGTGAGTCATTGATTTCTATGCCTAAAGTAAATTGTTTACCAAAGCGTAGATACAGATTTAGGGACATAGTGGTTTGGAATATATTGATGTTTCCTTTTATGGAAGCTGTCTAGGCATCAATATGGTTTTAACATTATTACTTTATTGGCACGAACTTTCCTCCATTCTTGTAATGACTTGACAGTCTCTTTGTTTGTGGCAGGAGCTGCTTTTTTTTTCGATTATTTGGGGCCGTCTTACTCTTTCCCTGTTTTATAGGAAAAGCTTTTAGTTTTTTGTTTCCTAACATTGGGGTGTGGACTATTACTCACAAGCTGGCTTTTTCAGCTACAACCTGTGAGTATAGATAGTACTAATTACCATGAAGTATGAAGGGTAGTGAAGATATATGACAAGGAAATGAGGCAGTTGGAAGCCTAGACAAAAATGTATTCAGAAGGAAATATAACAATGAGGTGTAAGAAGTGACGTAATGAGTCTAGATGAGTCAACAGCTTAAGTCCTCTTGTTATTGTGTGGTTGGGGTAGTGTTTTATTTTTTATTTAAAAATTTTTAACTTCTCCAGTGAATGTGTTGTTGAATTTAACAGGAAGTTAGTGTCAGCTATGCCTGTGTATCAGGGACTAGGTACTGGGGATGCTAGGATACTGCAGATGAGATGCAGTCTCTAACTTCAAAGAATTCCACAGATGATCAGCCAATAATTACAATGCAAAGTGAAAACTCCTATCCTAGAGACATGCGTCCTGCCATGTGAGCATGAAGGAACACACTGGATCGTGTAGGGTCATGGTGGTCATGGGGAGTGCTCAGGGGATATCTTCTCAGACAGAGTTTGAGCTGAGTCTGAAGGACAAGTATGTTTTAGATGGATGAACGATGGAAGCACATTCGAGAGCTTGGCTTAATTGGGAATCTACAAGAAGCTCAATGTGGCTGAAATAATGTGTGTGGGGGGATATGATAGCACATGAAATGGGAGTGGTAGGATAGAGACAGGTAATGACAGACTTTTCCTGTAAGGAGTTGGACTTTATCCCAAGGATGCTGTGAGGAGGACAGAGATTTGGGTTGGATTTTCATTTTATCAGGATCACTCTGACACTAGAATGGAGAAAGGATGATGCAGACAGAAACTAGAAACAGAGAGCAGATTCAGGAGTGAAGCAGCATATTCCAAGACAGAGGGAAGAGACATGCCCCCAGTGCCTGTTACTTGACTTGGTCAAGGAGGTAAACAAGTTTCCCTTTCACATGAAACCTCAAAGAGCAAGAAAGAAAGTGAACTCTTTCTCCTGTTTGCTGCACACACCCTCTCCACTGCTACACTGTTATTCTGGTTAGTAGCACATGTATTTTCACATTATGACAAAAGATATCAAGAAAGAAGTTTACCGACTTTCCTGGTTTCAGGCCAGAATCTACATCTCTCTAGGTCAACACAGGAGACAGGAGCTCTCCACGGTACTCCTGTGATCCACGGGAGGGAGGTTGCCTTGCTGAGCAGTGCAGTCTTTGTATCAGTGTACCTTGGACAGAATGACAGCTTCTACAGAACATTCAGAAGTAACTTTCTAATTCCTTTTTGTTTTTAAGAAGGGTATTAGTGGAAAGGAAGAGATTTCCTAAAAGCCTATTCATGGAAGAAAGGAGCTGCAGAACTATAAAAGAAATATTAAGATTGACCTGTTTGGTGTGAGGCAGATGACATAAATTATGAGAAATAAAAGAATAACTCTTTTTTGTATTAGGTGATTAATTAGAATCTTCCTATTCCATCTTTAATTATAACTTCTCTTAGCAGGTTTTATTTCTGATGTTTAATGACTTTTTTTCTAGAAATGTAAGGTGTCCCTCTGCCCAGATGGTGAACACGTGGTCAGGGGATCCAGGATCCATTGGATCTGGGTGCTAAGTGCTGGCTATTTTGAGAAAGTCAATCAATGTATTGGGTTCAGATGCCTTGGAAATCTCAAGATTCTTTAAAGGCATTTTAGAACAGAGTTAGAATTAGTCAAACACCTTTAGTTAGGTAAAGGAAATTTTAATTCCCCAACTGTCTTTACTATGATGAATATTGTCCTCCACCTCATTTTCTCCGAAACTGAAGATTGTATCACATTCTCCATTGTATTTTTTGTTATAAAATATAGTACTTGACCTACTATAAGTTCCTCAAAATGCTTTCTATTGTGGAAAATAATAAGAGAGACATAAATTGCAGTGAACTTCCCATTATTGTTCTTGTGTCCTTTTCCTCCACATTATACGAGAGAGGCGTACAACACAACTGTGTCAGTGTGGCACACTACCAAAATGCATCTTGTTTCTGGACTCCTCATCAACTGTACACCCAACTTAAGTGGGAGGAGGAAACCTGATTATTGTCCTTTCTAGCAGAATTGCTGATGATCTTTATTGAGAGTCTCCTTGATGAAGGCATACACTAAGGACTTGGCAGGTTGTATCTCCATTGTGACTACAACCTTAGCTGATAGATACTGTTGTCTGTTTCATAGGTGACTTTATAGGTCTTGCATATGTTCTTTCATTTAATCTTCACACCATATGATGCAGTAGAAATACATATCTCCCTTATACAGATGGGGACACTGAGGTTTAGAGTTTAATATCACCAGCCCAAGGTCACATTACTAGTAAGTGATTAAACTGGATTTTAAAGCCCATGACCTTTCGCCTATTATGCCGTATGGTGTGAGTCTGGGTTTGCTTATTTCCAAAGCAGAAAGAGTACATAGATGACCAGAGAGTATCTGAGAGTGTCCTCCATGCTGACTTTATGGTAGATGGTTTTCATATCAACACCATTTCGAAAAGTTCTAGATAATATTTGCACAATGTTAGAGCAAAGTATTTTAAATTACCTCTTTTTTTGTTGTTGTTGAGACTGGGCTTTGAAACTCCTTCTCTCTCTCTTTTAAAGTATATTCCACTGCCCCAGCAGACCCCTACATCAGTGCCTAGAAAACAAGGAAAAGCAGACAGACTCCTCAGTTTACATTTTCTAAAGAATCATTGACTTATGAGGGATTGTGTATCACTTTGAAAAGAGTTATTTGACCTTTGTGACCCAGGCATCCCATGAAAATAGGGTGGGTTGAGGAAGAAGGCTTCATGCTACCAGCCATCCTCTCACTCTTACAAATACCCTACCTGCAGCAAGTATCAACTCCCACCTCTCTACTGTCATGGAAGGTGCTGTGGGTAAATCACTTTACTCTTAAGCTGTAATTATTCTTTTTAGATCATTGACCATCAAGAGCAGTGCTGTGCTAGAGCTGGCACTGGCACAGGAATTTCTAGGAATTTTGTAAGCCAGTTTACATGAGGCAACATGTTATGGCTTGAAATTGGCTATGAGGGGAGTACTAATAAAACCAACACATGTTACAAATCAGTTTTATTTTCCTTTTCCTGGGGTGCTGGTTGTTAAACATTTACTAGTGATATATCACCAATAAAAGGCCACTGGGGATAAAGATACCATGAAGCCATCTCAGTCAACCAATTCCCATCCATGGCCATAACCAATTTTATACCCAACGTATTATGAGAGGGTTGAAGTGGTTGAAGAGAAAAGGGTGTTAGTGAAACTGCTCCAAATGTTAGATTTTATTCTTTGTCTTTTTCACTGATCACTCTAATCATGTGACCTTTTTAAAACCTCTGTTTGAGAAGAGGAAGCCATAAGCATCTGAACATGCTTGAGAAGAGTGGTTTTGATGCCTTGCTTAGCTTTGGTAAGGCATAGGTCCTGACTTCAAGACAAAAAGCATGATCTTGGGAATACAGCCACCCTTAGGTCTCTCTGACAATGAGATTTTATAATAAGATTTAGGACCCTATTCTCTGGCATTGCCTTATGTTCTATAAAATGTGACCTAGAGTATTCGCGTCTCAGTGGATTCACTTGACATTTTTAAGTGATCATTGCTTTCTTATTTTAAAGCTAAATATAAGTGAATTTGGCTTCCTCCAGTTAAAATGAATAGATCTTATGTTGTCTGTAAATGACTCTCTTCAGAAAAGCCAAGGGGACTCAACACTGTAAATTTAGAAATACTCTGAAAGCTATGGAAGTAGCTTTGCTGAAGGGTCCAAGACATATATTCAGCTAAGTAAATAGGCTATCCTTATTATCAGGAATACCCTCTGTATTAGTTAGGGTTCTCCAGAGAGGTATCATATATATCATATATAGGATATATGCATCTTATATATAATATATAAAATATATATTATTTAGATATATACATCTTATATATAATATATTATATAAAATATATATTATTTATATACATATGTATAAAAATAGGAATTGGCTCACATGATTATGGAGGCCAAGAAACTCCACAGTCCGCTGTCTGTATGCTGGAGAATAAAACAGTTGGATTCTAAAGCCCTGGGAATGGGGGTGGCAGGGGCAGAAGTGGCATGATAGTGTAAGTTCTGCTCTGATTCGAAAAGCCCAAGAACCAGGAGCACAAGTGTCCAATGTCTGAGGGCTAGAGAATATGGCTATCTCACCTCAAGCAAAGAAAGCGAATTCCTCCTTCCTCTGCCTTTTTCTTCTATTCAGAATAGGACCACAACAGATTGGATGATGCCTACTCACACTGGGGACCATCTGCTTTATTCTCTTCACCAGTTAAAATGCTAATCTCATTTGTAAATACCCTCAAAGACATACCTGGAAATAATATTTCATTATTATTATATATAATGACCAGGTATCTGGGCATCCCTTACCTCAGTCATTTTGACACATAAAATTAACCATCACATTCTCCTGAAGACTCTCAACTCTTTAATTTTTATATTTTAGCAGTCGAGACTATAGATTGCTCAGGTAGGCAGTAAGAGTCTTTCATAATCCATTTGCATTTTCAAAAATTTCCCTGTAGGGTTTCTATAGACTTATTTATATGAGACTTATATAAATACACACACATATACATAAATCTATGTATATTCATCTTTTTTCTGTACTTTTTTCCTTCCACCCAACTACTGTTCACTCATTTTTTTCCTATAAAACAATGTAAATTTTAAAATGTGAAAGTAGAAAGATTAGGCACTTACCAGGGGTAGAAAATTAAACTAAAGTTGGAAGATCTCTTTAGACAGTTCATGGCATGTATTATTCTGTTCTCATGCTGCTAATAAAAATATACCCAAGACTGAGTAATTTATAAAGAAAAAGAGACTTAATGTACTCATAGTTCCATGTGGCTGGGCAGGCCTCACAATCATGGCAGAAGGCAAACGAGGAGCAAAGTCACGTCTTACATGGAGGCAGGCAAGAGAGAACTTGTGTAGGGGAACTCCCCTTTATAAACCCATCAGATCTCATGAGACTTATTCACTATCGTGAGAACAGCATGGGAAAGACCTACCCCCATGATTCAATTACCTCCCACCGGGCCCCTCCCACAACATGTGGGAATTAAGGGAGCTACAATTCAAGATGAGATTTGGGTGGGGACACAGCCAACAATATCAGCAACTCTTATAATGCTCCTTCCCATGGAAGCTGTGGTTTGTTGGGACAGGCAAACCCTTTGGTTAACACGGAATTCTACTATGATAACTTCACATTTAGGTTACACCGATAGAGTCTAAGCCCTTTGACTTAAGCCCTTCACTCCTTGTGATTAAAGTTAGTGAATGTTGATAGATCAGCCTCACCTGGTCCCCACTCCTGGGTCACCAGCCTTGGCCCTCTAAAGGAATGGACATTGAGAAGACAAACTTGATATGGCCTCCAGGCCTGTCACTTCTCCTTTTCTCCCTTACCCTCTGCCTGCTGCACCCTACATTTCTCCACCCACTTCTTGTCTGGCTAGAACCAGGTGGTGCTGCTTTAGCACTATTTATGAATTTCAAATTGGGGTGTTTGAGACATAGGTTTGGTTAAGTCTTATTTGGGCAATAACAGAGGGAAAGTGCATTCTGATACTAGTGTTGTGAGCTTTAGGAAGAAAGTCTATTTCAAGGACCTACAAACAATAAAAAATACTCTATCAACTTTGGTTTTCTAGGCCATGAAGAGGAATTGACTAAATCAGTGTACACGTGCTGTAAGGGTGGATTAGAGCAGTAACAGGCATAAAATGGTTGTATCAGACAATTCTTAATGAGAAGAACAATCCCACCATCAAGAAAAATGATAGGAAATTTTGGCAGCCATCAGAATTATCTGATAAATAAAATGATAAGGGAATGAGATGCAATTTCATGTTTTCCAGCAAACCAAAAGCAGGGCTGGAAATTAGAAACCAAAGTACTAACACCATTGACATCTTATTCAGTCTTTCCAGACACATTTCTGTTGTCTTGTCACTTTCTGTAGTATACAAAGAAAGTCACCATCTTTTCTCAAAGGGATATGTGACTATTTTCGTGAGAGTTATTCACATATCAAGAGCAAAAATAACTTATACCATTCCTATACAGGAACTTCCTAAGGCCTTTGGATGTTTTAAGATATTAATAATTAATAATGACAATGATAAAAAAAGACTTCATAAATATGTAATTAAACAAATTTGTGCTGTCTTAGAATGTCTGGAATTTTATGTTGGTTTGGAAGAGTGTTTTATGAAAAATTATGATTATTAAGTCCCCAGAATTGTCTGTCATGCTTATAAACGTAACATTTGATACAGATTTCTGTTCATAAAATTGGACAAAATGAGATCTTCCTGTTTAACTGAATTGAAATGGTATTTGAAAGTTTTCCTTGTAAAAAACAAAAACAAATCCTTACATCAAGACGTCATCTTTTCCCAGTTGTAGGTCAGAAATACCTTAAGTTACTCTTATTAATCCAATGACACCACACATGCACATTCCCCACTCTGGCTTACACACATCCGTGAGAGGTTAGGTGAGTGGGCTGCACAATTAGCAAGCTTGGGTTTGAGACCTCACCCTCTCACTTGCCACCTATGGATTTTGGGGAAAATTATGCAACTTTTCTGTGTCTCAGTTTACTTTTCTGAAGTCTTTGCCTTTTGATTCAATCAACATTTTAAAAATTACTTAAATTTGAAATTATGGAGATCTCCTATGAGAAAATAATTTGTTTCTCTGATTCTTTACTACTTTTAATTATATTTGCTTCATCATGTGCTTATGAAGATTAATTGAATTAATATCTTAAAAGCATTTAGTATAGTGTCTGGCTCATAATAAGCACTAGGTAAGCTGTGTCTATTGTTATATCCTCTTTCTGATTTGTACAAGATTATTTTATATCAATAGATGTTTAGTGGGAAGCACTGTTGAAGCTTTTGGTTTTTCTCCCCCAAGACATGTTTTTCTAATTTCTTTGACACACTGCTATGTGAAATGCATACATTAAATACATTGACATAAAATAGGCTCTGTTTAGGAAAGGATGTACTTAAACAGGTTGAAGTAAGAATAGGAGCTCACAAAATGATCATCTAGAAATTGTTCTAGAGTCTAGCCCAGACTCTCATTCATTCAATAGTTATTACATACTGTACTTGGGCTTGGGAATACCAAAGAGTTCTTGTCAGCATCTGGTGAGTCTGAAATCAAAGGACACACGGCCAATTAAATACCACCACCCCACCCACCCTAAGAAAAAAATGTAAATAAAAACAGTTTCAAGTAAGAGATTACTTATGTGAGCTCTTATTGGTAAATTCTAGGGATAAATTTTTACAAGAACCATTTTGCTTTAAATTCTAAATGAATGGCTTTATTTCTTTATTTTTTCTTTGTTATTTAGTTCTTTCTTTTATTCAATAATATTTTGAATATTTTGAATAGAACCCTCACGCTATACCAAATACAATATCAGAAATTAGAGATGTAAAGGTGACCAAGACAGACAAGGCTTCTGCCCTTGAGAGGCTTACGGTCCAGTAGGATTTGAAAGACAGTGAGGAACTTAATAGTTCTGACAAAAAACGGATGCACTGACCAGTGGAACAGGATAGAGACCCCCAAAATAAACTTATGCATTATGGTTAACTGATTTTTTTTTTAACAAAGGTGCCACAAGTATGCAATGGAGAAAGGATGGTCTCTTCAATAAATGATATTGGACAAAATGGATATTTACACGCAGAAAAATAAAATTGTACCCTTTTTATACCATATACAAACATCATCTCAAAACATATTAAAGATTCAAATGTTAGACCTGAAACTATAAAACTACTAGAAGAAAACGTACAGGAAGTGCTCCATTGCATTGTTTCTGGGCAAGGATTTCTTGGATGTGACTTCAAAACCACAGGCAACATAAACAAATGAGATTGCATGAAGCCAAAAAGGTTCTGCACATCAAGAAAACAATTAATAGAGTGAAGAAGTAACCCATAGATTGGGAGAAAATATTTGTGAAGTGTATATCTGATAAGGCACTATTATCCAAAATATATAAGAAACACAAACAACTCAAAATAAGAAAACAAATACCCCAATCAAAAAATGAGCAAAGAATCTAACTAGACACTTCTTAAAAGAAGATATGCAGATGGCCAACATATATATGAAAAAAATGCTCAACATCACTCATCTTTGGGAAAATGCAAACTGAAACCATGATGAGATATCACCTTGCACCTATTAAAATAGCTACTATCAAAAAGACAAAAACAACAACAACAACAAGTATTGGCAAAGGCTTGGAGAAAAGGGAACACTTGTGCATTTTTGGTGGGAATGTAAATTAATATAACCATTATGGAAAACAGAATGGAGGTTCCTCAGAAAACTAAAAATAGAATTACCATATGATTCAGCAATCCTGCTTCTGGGTTTCAGTCCAAAATAATTGAAGGCAGTACGCCAAAGAGATATCTGCATTCCCATGTTCATTGCAGCATTAATCACAATAGCTAAAAATTAGAAGAAACCTGGGTGTTCATCCTCAGATGAATGGATAAAGAAAATGTGGTATATGTACACGATGCAATACATTTGCTCATTTTTTGATTGGGGTATTTGTTTTCTTACTATTGAGTTGTTTGAGTTTCTTACATATTTTAGATAATAGTCCCTTAACAGATTGTTTTATTCAGCCTTAAAAAAAAGTGGGAAGGCTGGGTGTGGTGGCTCATGCCTGTAATCCCAGCACTTTGGGAGGCCGAGGCAGGTAGATCACGAGGTCAAGAGACTGAGACCATCCTGGCCAACATGGTGAAACCCTATCTCTACTAAAAATACAAAAATTAGCCAGGCATGGTGGTGTGTGCCTGTAGTACCAGCTACTTGGGAGGCTGAGGCAGGAGAATTGCTTGAACCCAGGATGCAGAGGTTGCAGTGAGCCGAGATCATGCCACTGCACTCCAGCCTGGTGACAGAGCAAGATTCCATTTAAAAAAAAAAAAAAAAAAGAAAAAAAAAGAAAAAAAGGCTGGAAATTCTCTTATTTGCAACAACATGGATGAACCCGGAGGATATTATGCCAAGTGAAATAAGCCAGGCACAGAAAGACAGATACCACATGATCTCACTTATATGTGGAATCTAAGAAATTTGAACTCATAGAAATAGAGAATAGAATAGTGGCTATAGGAGGCGGGGGGAGGGGATGGATGGAAAAATAAGAGATGTTGATCAATGGGTACAAAGTTTCAATTAGACAAGAGGAATAGGCTTTGGTAATCTATTGCATAGAATGGTGACTACAGCAAATAATAGCGTATTTTAAATTTCAAATCATTAGAAGAATAGATGTTAAATGTTTTTACCACAAAAAAGTGCTAAGTATGTGAGGTGATTGATTTGTTAATTAGCCTGATTTACCATTCCGTGTTGTAAGCATATATTAAAACATAACATTGTATCCCATAAATATAAACAACTATTATCTTTCAATTTAAAAGAAATTAATTTAATTACAGTCCACGTAATTGTTATTAGTTAAGTAAATAGGAAGACATGATGAAGAGTAAAAGTTCTGCTAATGGGGGCTTCCTTAAGTAGGATAGTTTGGAGAAAGCTCATTTTGAGCTGAAACTCAAAGAATAAAAATGAAACAGTCATTTGAATCTGGAGAAAGCACAGTTAAGGCCAAGGGTCCAGCAGGAAGCGCAAAGGAACTCGAAGATAGGGGTGGGCATGAAGTATTAAGGCAGTGGTCCAGGAATATGAGCAGGCATCTGAACCACCTGGAGGGCTTGTTACAACTCAGATTCCTCAATTCTGCCCCCAGTCAGTAGGTCTGGGTACAGCCTTAAAGTGTTTTTCTCATAAGCTTCCAGGAGATGCAGATGCTGCTGGTTTAGGAGCAACACTCTGGGAATCATTGTGTTAGGAACTAAAAACAGGAGAGGGCTGTAGCACTGTGAGCTAGGGACATATGGTAAGAAATGAGACTGGAGAAGGAGGCAGGGGCTCCTAGGAGCTCAATCTTGAAAGGAGGTTCAAGGTTAGTTCCAGATTGTTGAGAAGTTGAAAGTTCTATTAAGTCCTTAGTGACAATACTGTTGTTCTTGGATGCTTACAATGTAGTCAGTCTTCCGGTACTATCTGATTCTACATGGCCTTTGCCCCTTAATGCAAGTGAAGCAAATTCAGTGGAATTGATAAATAACCTATAATCCCCGCCCTGTATTTGGTCCCTGATGAACTTCTGACAAATGGAAAAGATTGCATACTTTGCAGAGTGCAGACATGCTCCTACACTCAGGTTTTGGAAGCATGATATAGCAAATCAAGGGTGGTTACAATTCAGATCACCCTAACATTTACTGGAACACTTTCTGCATCTTCACAATAGACTTAGTGCCACAAGGACCTAACCAGAGAATATTACCTGATTTCTAATAGCAAGCAGCTTTCAAACTTTTGATGATAAAATAGTAAAAACATAAAGCAATTAGAGGATTATATGAGGAGAAGACAGTGCAATGCGTAATAAAGTGCTAAACTGAATATTATATGCAAAAATTAATGACGCAGATAATAATTGCTATGGCCACAACAAAGCGGGAGAATTATTGTTTGAAGTTATTGACTAATGTTTCATTTGAAGAAGGCATTCAGGCTGGTCCTTAGAAAAATGGTTAAAATTTGGCAGTTAGAGGGAAGGCGAAAGATATGGAAAAGGCTTCGTCTTTAGATTCAATCAACATTCAAAGAATTATTGTGTTTTCCCAGAGTTTTTGCTGTTTTACTGCCTTTTACAGTAAAACTTTCCATAAACCTTCCATGTGTTTCTGATTATTGAGTACAATTGAATTACTAGCCAATTGTATGGTGAGAGCTGTTTGGCCAGGGAGCCCCTGTGGACTTCTCAGAAGCTTTTATCCTTTGAAAGAAGCTGTCCTGATTTACCATTGTTAATGAAACTTGTATAACACAATGCTTGAGTTTAAGACCCACTGAGAACATGACCACATACCTCCTTTCATCTCTACATGGGGGAACCACATGGCCAATAGGAGCTGCAGAAAGCCAGCAGCAGTACTGTAACCCCAGTGTTAGTAATTGTTTTGAACTTTCTTATGTCATATCCTCATAGCATTGTCTTATGAGTGATGGCCTGTCCTGCTTCCACCCTTCATGAATAAATACAAAATGCCTTGCCACCCAGAAGACGAACCCTTTGTAGTCGTGCATCTCTTTTGAACATGCGTCTTTAGGACCCTGTGTTCTTTCATTTCAGTATTCTTGCTTTTGTGAGGCTTACGTTAGAAACTGTGAAATATGCTGTTATTGCAATGGTAATATGTTTTACCCTGTCAAGTGCTTTTATGCATTAGTTCCTGACTAATACATTTGGTGAGTCAAAGGGCTCATCTCGTTTGCTGAGATTCTCTGGGAAATTCATGGAGTTATACTGAATATTAAGATATTTCCTGTGAGCTCAGATAATCCTAAATGTATAGATTTATCTTTAATCCCAAAGTTAAGGCAGAAAATGTCAGTAAAAGAGAGAGAATGGTTGAAGAGAAGTGCCAGGCGGACCGAAAGAGTTTAATGGCAATCTGTAAGAGAGAGATCATCAAAAAAATTTTAATGCCCCCACATGTCAGTAAAAGATTTGGAGAATGCCTTCAAAATAGGTAAATTTACTTGTAAGTTATATACATGTACTATTATTCTTATATATTAACATATGAAAGACACACAGAAATAGAAATAATTTAGAATTAATTAAAAGAAACACAATTTCTAATATTTTCTTTCTATAGCACAAATGATTCTCTTTTGCATGCTCCAGCGCATGCACACTCCATTTAAGAGAATCCATTTTTAGCTTGGTGCAGTGGTTCACACCTGTAATCCCAGCACTTTGGGAGGCTGAGGTGGGCAGATCACGAGGTCAGGAGATCGAGACGATCTTGGCCAACATGGTGAAACCCTGTCTCTACTAAAAATACAAAAAAATTAGCTGAGTGTAGTGGCGTGTGCCTGTAATCCCAACTACTCGGGAGGCTGAGGCAGGAGAATTGCTTGAAGCTGGGAGGTGGAGATTGCAGTGAGCCAAGATCGTGCCACTGCACTCCAGTCTAGCAACAGAGCGAGACTGTCTCAAAAAAAAAAAAAAAAAAAAAAAAGAATTCATTTTTAGAATACCTAGAGCAGCAGTGTGCTGTAGTGCAACGGCTTTCAAACTTCAGACTGCATTTGAATGTCCTGGAAGCTTGTAAAAACAGATGTGTGCCTCCCTGCAAAAGTTTCTAATTCAATGGGTCTGGGGTGAGCTCCAAGCGTTTGCATTCCTGACACATTCCCAGGTTGTGGTCGTCTGAGAACTACACATTGAGAACCACTGGTATAGTCCACAGCATGCGTTTTAGAGTTACTTTACCTAAGTTGGACATCAGCATCCTTCAATTACCAAATGTGTGACCTTGAGTAAATTACTGTGTCTTCCCGAGCTCAGTTTCTTAAAATCTGTAAAGTGGAGGTAATCATAATTACTTACCTCTTAGAGTACCTGGAGAGCTCAGCAAGATAATGTAAATACATTGTTTAGTACCCAGTACTCGCCCCCTAAAAAACATCAATACATGTTGGCTGCTAAATCCTCCTTCTTCTCCTTCTCTTCCTTCTCTTCATCATTATCAATATCATTAAACATCTTTTTTTATGTCACGAAGTAGATATAGGGACTGTTGGTTTCAGGATTAAAAAAACACTGTGCCTTAATTTATAAGAATCATGGGAATGATTTTTTTTTTCTGAGTTAGCATTCTACATTAAAAAAAGCTATAATCCAAATGAGATATCTTTCTAGTTGAAAGGTAGAGATGAAGCTATTTTGCAAAGTCAACCCGAAGGAGAACAGTGTGTTCAGCCCTCTCCCTTCTGTGTATAACTGTTGATAGTTTGTGGCTAAGTGTGTATTTCCGTCATCTTTTGTATATACTGAGTTCTTGTTGCATGAGATTGAGTTGACAATTTTGGTGGTGTGTCTTCAAATGTTTGGGGGCATGAGAATGGTAAATTCAGGTGATTTCCTTGAATCTAATTTTTAACATTTCTTCTCTCTCTCCTTTTTCTTTTTTTCCCCTCTTCTTGTGCATTACTAGGACCCAGTACCACCTGCCAGGAAGATTCATGTGCCAACCAGGGGGTCTGCATGCAACAATGGGAGGGCTTCACCTGTGATTGTTCTATGACCTCTTATTCTGGAAACCAGTGCAATGATCGTAAGTACAACAACCTTTCATACTGGAACTTTGTGAAGATGTTTGGAGATTTGGAGAATCTTAAAGGACAATATGTAAAAGGATGGCTCTTCTGAAAGATTCATAAGTAATTCTCTCCTCCAGAAACTTGGGAAATAAATGACTAGTGCTCTTATGAGAAGAGTGAAGAGATGTGTCTTGCTTAACAACACTAAATATTCTCCCACTTGCTCACTCCCTGTGTTTTTTCTTTAGATTAGAATAGCGACTGAGAAACAATAACCACAGCAGCAAACCATTTCAGGCAATATTTTTGTTGTAAGGGCTTCAGTTCTTCATGAATTAAATCACCTTATCTTATTGAATTTAACTCCAAATTGGTTAATAATTTTGAGACTCTCCCCTTTTGCATTGCCTAGAATTTTGAGGCTATTTAAAGGGTATAGCTGTTTTCTCAAAAAGTTTGAGTTCTCTGAATTTCTTAGGCCTTACAAATGACAAAGACATTCAAGAGTTTATTTTTTACAATTAGCAAAGCTTAAAGCGTTCTTGGGTATCTTTCAGATATAGGGTAGAAATTCTCTCTGACTAAATTTATTGGTATCTGGTTTATATACACATAGCTATTCTGTATGTATGTGTGTATATATATGTGTGTGTGTGTGTATATATATGTATGTATGTATTTTCTATTTTGTGAGTATATTTTATATGTATATATTATGTATTTGGTTTTTATTGGAAGAGAGTCTTGTGATTGTTAATTGTGTCCACTAGTGATGCTTCTGGCTCGTGGGTTTAGTTCTGACTTCATGAAGGTGCTTCTAGCACTGATGGTGGAGACACCTCAATGCTGTGGGCATCTATAACCTGTGTCTCCACTTCTTTCTCATGTTATTTTCTTGATGTGACCATAGTAAAGATGAGCACACACTTGAAATTTCTGAATAACCGTGGCAAAGAGATTTGTTGAAAATCCCTGACTCTGTGGGTCCTGCTAACCTTCTGACTTTCTAAATGCAGCCTTTGTTTTATAATCCAGACTCATTTGACCTCTTGGTTTTAGAAAAATGATGCATGATGTTATCTGAGAAAATAGTAAAGTCACATTATGGTGTGACCACATGGGAGCAGACACCAATTACAATGCTATGCCCCCCAGATCTATGTGGTTTTTTTGATTCTTTATTTCTCAGCTTTTTATCTGTGTGCAGCTGTCTGTTGTTGTTCTTTTTCCCGTTTTTTCTCAGTAGTTTTGGTCCCATATGCTCTTTCATTCTCTTAAGGTACACTGAGGAGAAACAAGTGGAGAAGTTGGCAATATAGAGAGAAAATTATGTAATACGCATTCATCTAATTACATAAGCATATGTCTCTGTATCTGTCATGTGAAGGATACGATGTCTGGAGAAAGTTTTGGTATAAGACTGCTCTTACCAAGTCTTTTGGTATTATTGAAAGTCATGTTGCCATATTTATGATGTGGAAATACTGTTTCACTCTGAAACAGGTAGTTATAAACCCAGCCAGCCAGAGAACCTGAGGAATTATACTATATGCTCTTTCTTTTTCCTCCAATTTGTCAGTATAGCACTCACTAGGAAGGCTTTTTTCTCTAAATGGTGGCATAATGCTTCTTTATCCTCACAAGTTTATTTCTTGTCGCATATACGTCCCTTTCTGGGTAGAAAATGGTCAGGAAGAGACTCTCCACACAGAACAGGTATAAAGGTAAGTTATCGTAACGTGGTGAGCACGCACAATTTTCAGAAGGTAGGTATGTCTTTTTCTGTCTTTGACAAGTTCCTGTCTGTCACCCAATGCCAGGCATTATTTTCTGGTAAAAATCAGGAAGGATTCTTTCTAGCATTCTGTGACTGTTTCTGGTTTTATCAAGAGCAGATTGTGTCTCATTCTGGGATGTGGAGTATCACACTGTCTGACTTGGGGAATTTGTTGGGATATAATGAAGCACTAGAACTTACATTGGGAAAATGTCAGCTTTCCTTTGTGGCAACAGCTTATCACAGTTCAAAAACATTTCTAGTAAATCTAGGTTTAGGGCAATACATTTTGAATTTTATTCTGTAACAATGCAGCTAAATCTTTTCATTATAGCAGACTTGGGAAACTGCCTCTCTAACAGGAGCTACTTGCCTAGTCCCCCACCTGGAGATTGGACCACGGCTTCTGTGATTGGATAGATACATAGATACATGCAAATGATGAAGTTCACATCTATTTTTTTTTTTTTTTTTTTTTTTTTGAGACGGAGTCTCATTCTGCTATTGCCCGGGCTGGAGTGCAGTGGCACAATCTCGGCTCACTGCAACCTCCACCTCCCAGGTTCAAGCGATTCTCCTGCCTCAGCCTCCTGAGTAGCTGGGATTACAGGTGCCTGCCACTACGCTCAGCTAATTTTTTGTATTTTTAGTAGAGACAGGGTTTCATCATGTTGGCCAGGCTGGTCTTGAACTCCTGACCTCGTGATCCGCCCTCCTCAGCCTCCCAAAGTGCTGGGATTACAGGGAAGTACACATCTTAGTTGTGGAGTGTGATAAGTATATAGAATTGAGACATATAGGATGTGACTGTGAAGTTTGAATATAAACTTTTAATGAAATCCAACCAAATATAGCAGAATGGTAGATTGTTTAAAATTATTACATTGGACGTTTCTGTTTCCAATAATTGGTATTCAAGTTATCTGGAAGACCTTCTGTTTTGGAACTAGCAGCAAAGCCAGTTTGTTCTACCTAGAAAAAGCAGTCTCACTATATCATAGACCATTATTTTCTATAGCAGCCTTGACCCTTAGAGTTATAATTGGCTATTTCATCTCACAAACATCTTCAAAATGAAGTTACCTGCATGATATTCTATATGCTTACCTTTGTTGATAAATTTTTGGTGGCGTAGCCTGTATCAGGACTCAAGTGTTAACCTTCATCATCACCGGCAGACTTGAATAGGCTCATGCTTATCATCAGCAAAAAGTGGTGGGGGAAATTGCAAAGAAAGATAAGCTCATGGAGGAGGAAGAATAATGATGAAAAGGAATATAGAGAAAATCAGAAAGTGGGTCTTATATGGAAGAGCACAGAGGTCATCAGCAATTGCTTTGGTAACATGCCTGCCACAAGTGGCCTGCCTTTGACCTAAATAACAGAAATGGGTCACAGCATTAAAAGTCGAGTGCCATCAAGGAAACCTGGCTTTTACCTAATTAATTCCTGCAAAGAGAGTGTTCTATAGAATGTTGCATATAGCTCAAACAAATTGTATCCATTTAAATGCTATCATAGGACCATGCAAATAGGTTAGAGATGAAATTTAATTGTAAAAAGCATTTTGTGGGGGAAAAATGGTTATGGATATCTCATTTTCCAGAAGCTGTTTCTCAGGGCAACAGATTGATCCTCAATTAATGAACATGAAAACACTTCAGTTTATTACTACATATCCAAAAACTGAAACTTACTCAACAGGGAAATAGCTAGGTCTTATATTTTCCAAAATAAGGTACTAAATCCATCATGTGTAAAAAAGTTAATCATATGTAGGCATGACTTGTAAGGCTCTAAAAATGTCTGCATTTTAGGGTATTCCTTTTTCCTAGCATTGGTTCTTTTATGACCTTTGTGTTTTTCTTGCCTGTTTACCAAATATGATTGCCTGACAATGTTAATGTGCTGTTACATAGATGTTGCCTCTATGAGTACAGCGTACATTTTAAAACTTAGTCTCATTTAGTGTGAGTTGGCCAAGCCTGGATGTTTTCACTTTATTTCTTTATTCTTTGTGTGACCCTGGTGGGTTGATGGAGGCAGTGGGATGAATTTCAGTTTCACTCTTATAAACATAGCTGTGCAAAGCTGATATTCTTTAGAGCTGATTGTCTTGTATAAGAGTGACTCCCTTGTATGGGGTTAGGAAACAAAAATCCTCTGATTGGAAATCCAAGTGTAATTGATTTGCTAATTGTCTTACATAGTTTTAGATATGACCTTCCACAATGTTATGTAATGGTAAAGTCATGGGGAGTTTCTTTTGGGTTGACTTTTAGGGCTGTTTTGATTCTGCAATCTAATCATCCCAGAAGAAATGTTGAGTTAATGTAGAAGTCAGTATGATCTGTGGAAGAAAACATAAGTAACATTCTCCAAGATAATCTTCAGTTCTCGTGAAACATTTAAAATTGAGGGAGCTGGCTATTCAGAGGGTGAGCACCACCTGAAAATCAACTTAATGAAAGCTGTCTTGGGCTACATTTTAAGAACAACAAAAGAAATGGAACCTTACAAAGGTTCTTGATAGGCATATTCTTTTTTGATATTGGGTTCTTATTAGTATTTTAAATCAGGACTGAGAACCTGGGAAATTCTAGCATGTTGTAGCCATGGCAGCACCAGGCAAATCCAGAATCTCCTTCCTGTATTTTGTGGTAATATTGTCACTGTCAGCCTGCTGTTGAGTTTTTCTTTCCTTCAAACATCGAAAAATGTTGTGTAGAATAGAACCCTCCTGCATGCACCCACACATGTGCAAAAGGGTTGTCATTTTTATGGACTTTGTGAAAATAGCAGTTTTAAACATTTCATACCTATCCTTAACAACATTGTTGGCTTTTACCATGTACATGACAACTGTTTTGAGTGGCATACAATTTGGGGGTTTGGTTATTGCTTCTGGTGCCCTGGAGAAGCACATATAGGACAGTCTTTGGCACATGAGTCCTTAACACACATCAAGTTCCTGACTTTATGAGGTGGGTGCTCATCATGGCTTTGTGGGGTGAAGTAAAGGGAATGAACGTGGGTCCTCAGCCCACCCTTAGGAGCTGGCCACCCTGTGCTACATTGCTGGTCACACACTGCAGGATGCCTGTTGGAGAAATTCCTAGGTTCACACTGGCATGTGGTAATAGATGTTCTTTGCTTGCAACAAATCAATAGCAAGCAGCTGTGGATAGTGCAGATAGTGGAGTGTAAAGCGTCTTTTTCAGACAGTTTTCTGCAGGAGTGGCTATTAAGCTGCAGTGTTGGCTATTGATTGGCCTTTTGCTTTTTATTTATTGTGTGGGTTTATTTATTTTTTTAATGTAGGTTGGTGTATTGATTAAATCTGTTAAAAACACATTTCCCATTCAAGCTTCAGAAAATACAAGCAATGTATGCATTACTCAGTGTGCAAAGAAGGGGACAGATATGTGTATACTGATTCTGTCTCTTGGGTCCATATAGGTACATAGACATTATGTTAAAAACCTATGTTGTTATGAACCTATGTTGTTCCAGACCTATTGGTATAGCAGTAATTTTTAAGGATATCATAGTATAGTACATCCATGTTTTTGGTTATGTGTTCATTCCCCGCCATTGTTTTCAGACTCTACCTGCCCAGCGAATAGGCCATATGTAAGAAGTTCACTTGTAAAACAATTGTTTGTTGCTTAGAATGCACTTTATCATGTATTGATTCATTCACTCACCAAACATTTCTTATTTGCAGATATAATCATGAATAAGAGAGTTTTGTTCTCAAAGACCTTCTAGTCTAATGGGGAAAGACACATATGAAGGTGCTTCAGTAGAAACATGAACAGTGTATAGCGAGGAGTCATAAGGTGGAGTAATGGCAGCTGTCCCCAGGGTTGAGACTCTATGAAGAGCAGCTGCTTTTAGGATGGTTTTCATTGAAGATGAGCCTTGAAATTTTTTTTTTTTTTTTTTTTTTTTTTTTTTTTTGAGACAGAATCTCTCTCTGTTGCCCAGGCTGGATTGCAGTGGTGCGATCTCAGTTCACTGCAACCTCCGCCTCTTGGGTTCAAGTGATTCTCTTGCCTCAGTCTCCTGAGTAGCTGGGATTACAGGTGTGTGCCACACACCACGTCCAGCTAATTTTTGTATTTTTTTAGTAGAGACGGGGTTTCACCTTGTTGGCCAGGCTGGTCTCGAATTCCTGACCTTGTGATCCGCCTGCCTCGGCCTCCCAAAGTGCTGGGATTACAGGTGTGAGCCACTGCGCCTGGCTGCCTTGAAAATTTACAAGTAGGTTCAAAGCAAACATGGTATGGAAGAGGGCTGGAAAGGAAAGGTAGCGTGCCAGCAGGCAAGCAGGGAAAATATATGCTGCAGTCACTGTTAACATTCTGCATGTTTCCTTCCGGTCTTCATTTTAAGCATTAGCATGGTTCAGATCACATTCTGTTTGACATTTTTGCCCTGCTTTGTTTGGTTTAACACTATAGGCTATGCATTTTTCAAGATATAAAAAAAAATTAGATTTCCCAACTTCTTTCAATAGAATGCATGTTATGGTGCCCAACTCTTGGGGAGAAACTCCCCTATGTTGAAATCATTGCTGAGTCCTAAATGTAGGCCTCATAGGGCTCAAATCTGGATTTATTTCATTGAGTCGTTGGTGGAGATCGATCTTGAAAATTTATTTATAAAGAATCCAATTTTTAAAAGTTTGATTTGTAATGTGTATAACTTATTAAATGATAAAAGAAATCAAAGCATAGTCATTAATTTAATTGGCTCTAGAATCAAACTGCTTTAAATGCCAGTCCTGAGTCTTTCTATCTGTGAAGTTGAATTGTTCACTTAGCTTCCTGAAACTTTGGTGTAACATAAGGAGTGTAATAGGTACTTGGTAAATAGGATTAGTGGTAGTTTTTATTGTAGCTAATTATAATATTTGACAACTGTTAAGTCCTTATCATGGTCCTGACACTCTACTAGGACCTTTATAAGGATATCATTCTTTTAATCATCCCCAAATTCTTAAGAAAATATTATAGTACGATACTCCTGATTTTAATTATGACAAAACTGAGATCACACTGTTAGAATATAGCTGATTGAGGGTTTGGTCCCAGGTTTGTCTGACATAAAAGTTCACATTCTTATTCGATTTGCTGCCACTTAGTCATTATTAGAAATAACAGTTTAACATCTGTACTGATATTAGACTAGGATGCTTAATTCCATGTGGGCAAGTCTTCACAGACAATCAAACTGCATAAAAACATAGAACTGGGAAAGGGAAATTGTGTTCTTGATGATTATTTGCATCATATTGTGGAATTCAGAACATTTCAGGTCTTCCTTCTTAACACTCAGATGAGGCCATTTAGAATTAAAATGTCTTTAGCCATTATAGAATTAGAGTATCTTGCCCATACTCCAAACTATTTATATTTTCATTCTCTGTTGACCTAGATCTTCTGATTTTTATGTGTTTGCTTTATTTCAATTCCAACATATGTCATACAGCACGGTGGACGAGACCACTAATGTGTAATGGGGTGGCCTGTGTTCAAATCATGACTCTGTCCCTTAATATCTATGTTACCTTGGACATGATAATTACAGTGCTTCTAAAGTGCAGATATTTTGTAGGTCCTATCTTGTAAGAATAAATTTTACAAACATAAATTGAATAATAATAAATTGAATGTGTAGTGGTGAAGTTTAGGAGATATGGCACATGATGGCCCTGCCGGCTACTCTTCGATATTACTTTCAAAAAGTTAAAAACATGACTCATACAAATATAATTATTATAAAGTTAAAAACAAAACACTCATGCAAATATAGAATGAATGTGTGTCAAATTTATTTAACTCCATAATGAGAGAAACAAGATGGTAACAGTGTAAACAAGATGACAAAAGACTATTTGAAGAACTGGATATTTATAGGCCTTAAGAATATTAAAATACAAATTTTAGATTTAAAAGTGGTAAATGTCCTACAAAGCAAAAATCTCTTAACCTTTGGTGTTATCTTTTCTATGGAACATCTGTGCTGAACAAAAATCTACAGGTTCAGAGGGCATCTTCTGTACTCTGGGCCCCCGCTAACAATAAATGTCAGTGCCAGTCACAGGTTCTTCTCCCATAGAGCTAAATGTTTCTCGGGTGGGCCTGTTAAACAGTGTCCTTTTATAACATTAGAAAGACACATGATTTTTTTCCCCTAACTTTTGCCCTATGTTTTGGATAATTTTTATTAATTTATATTCAGTTTCATTTTTCTTTTTTACCTTGAATACCTCTTTCATACACAATTACGTTTTTTAACCGCTTAACAGTGTGCCCCAATGTGCTGAATTCATTGTCATTTAAACCCCACGGCAACCCTAAAAGTAGATACTATTGTGATACCAGTTTCATAGATGAGAGAACTGAGACAGAAAAGTCAAGTGATTTGCTCAAGGTGACAAAACTATTAGGTTGAGGAACAAAGATTCAGAGTTATGTTAGTCTGACTGCAAAGTCTGGGCTCTGGACTGCCAATATCTTCTTAATGCCTCAGGGAAAGTTTCCTGATGAGAATTCATCTGAATTCATAGGGGTTTAGATTCACATTAGCCACAGAGCTTAACGACTTTTGTTAGCATCAATTATACTGTAATTTCTAGTGTCTGTGTTATTCTTTTGGGGGGGATGCTATTTTATTTTATTCACTTTAAATGAGGGCATTTAAAGTAGGACTGATTTGCTCGGGGAACAAGATCAGAATTTCCATCAAATAAGTGCCATTTTGCAGGTTTGGTACATCTAAGCAGGGAGGAGGCTGAGTCCTGAGAAGTCAGTGAGGCTGAGAGGGGCAGCATAGCTCCATGATAACCAGGTCCCAGAAGGCGAGACAGATGCAAAAGAAACGTCAGGAGTGGCAGCACCAAAGGTTATTTCTCTGCATCTGTTTTTATTCTCGGGCCCACAGATATTCCATGGAGCCAAAGGGAAGTCAGAAGATAACAATGAAACCCAGGGTCTTCTAAGAGCAGAATGAAGCTAGCGGTACTCTTAGGAACAGTTCTATAGATGTGGGTTGTAGCTTGTTGCCCATGGGAATCACACTTGCTTTTAAGTTCCATCAATATTAAGAAGGGATGATTTGGAGTATTCTCAAGCTTTATCAGGGCTAATATTAATATGTGTGCAATACTAAACCGATTCAGCAAGAGCCAGGACTGCGTGCAGCTTTGTTTTTCACAACCCTCCCTGAAAATAAGCTGGGACTCATAGGTGACACATTGGTTTCTACAAACCCCAGTAGACACTTGGTCCTATGGTTCAAGAAAAAATAGTCTCCATAATTCAAAGGCATATAGCTTATCATGGATTATCATAAGCTGTTGGAGTTTGTGGCCTCAATAATTTCATTTCCACCATCTTCCACATGCTATATTTGTAGACCATTTTCATTGCTGTGTTTAATTATAGCCCATTCATTTCTGGTGTCCTTGGCTAGTTACTTACTTAAGGTGACGGCAATAATCCACTTAGAGCCTATTGCTTCACGGAAGACAATTTTTGTATTACCATGTTAGTCACATACAGGTGCAATTCCAACATATTTTTCAACATGGACATAATTTCCTATAGTTATTTCCACATCTAAAGGCACAAGAAAGATCTAAATTACTTTACTTTGTCTTGTAAAATAGAAATAATAAATATAATTTTGTTCTTTTCATTTATTTTTCTCCTCTACTTTCTTTTTAGGGAAGGAAGAGATCATTTTTTGAAGGTGGTAAAATTTACATCCAGCAAAATGCATAGATCTTACATGCATTATCACAAATGCTTATACCCAAGTAACCAACACCAGTTAAGATAAAGGATAGTTTCATCTTCTCAGAAACTTTTCTTGTTCCCTTTCCGGTTAGTTCTTCTCTTTAAGGTCATTGCTGTTTGAATTTGTATCAGCATTTGTTATTTTTGTCTCTTCTGGAGTATATATAAATGGAATCATACAATATGTGATCTTTTAGGTCTGTTTTCTCCAGCTCCATGTCAGCTCTGCATTCTAGCCAGCTGAGAGTCTCTTCTGAGTCTTAGCTCCATCTATATAACTGCAGGAGTTGGCTGGATTCCAGCTGGAACCTTCCTGCCTGCTCCATGATGCAGAAATTCTCTCCAGGCAGTAAGCTGGAGCAGTCTTAAATCTCACAGTTTATCTTCTCTATTTCAGAAACCACTGCTCTTCTTTGCCTGATGTCTCATGTCTCATGAGCCATTGTTTCATGTGTTGTCATTTTCCCGGTTATATCAGGTCAGTTGTAGTTCCAGTCTTTGTTACTCCATTTAGGTTGAAAATTGATGCCAACCTATTCTTTTTTACCTGACTTCACCTTTGCACTGTGAGATTAGGGTGAAGGTAGCAGGAGAAGACATAACATGTAATGGGCTGTGCTTCAAGCCGCAAATTCTAAGGGTTTTCTGAGGCTTTACATCAGTCCCAGAGTGATCTGGCAGTATGTAATATTCTACAACTGTTTTATTTATTCATTTATTTTAGGGAAAAGCCTTCAACTCCAGTGATAATCCCTCTGTAGTCAAAGAACCTTCTTGGCCAAAGAAAACGTTGCAAGAAGCTGCGCAAAGCTAGTTAAAGACTTGCCAATGTGTCTCTATCAAGTATTTATTAATTTGAGTGTTTCTGTTAGGAGGGCTACATTAAATTTTTTTTTTTTTTTTTGAGAAGGAATCTTGCTCTGTCACCCAGACTGGAGTACAGTGGTGCCATCTCGGCTCACTGCAACATCCGCCTACCAGGTTCAAGCAATTCTCCTGCCTCAGCCTCCTGAATAACTGAGATTACAGGCACCAGCCACCATGCCCAGCTTTTTTTTTTTTTTTTTTTTCAGTAGAGACGGGGTTTCACCATGTTGGCCAGGCTGGTCTTGAACTCCTGTCCTGAAGTGATCCTCCCACCTCTGCCTCCCAAAGTGCTGGGATTACAGGCGTACATTACTTTTTACTTCCACTCCCTCTGAAAACACTTGATTAAGCTCAGTGATTGCAGGCATTGATTTGACTTGAAAAGCTAGTGGTTCTTATTATTTTCTTCACTTAGAATTATAGTTTATTTTCTCAACCTACCCTTTTCTTGTGGATCTTTGACCACTGATTCATGTCCCTTTGCCAAGTGAAATTAACAAATGTTTTCAAACAAAGAATTTGGAGACTTCAGAAAAGTGGAGTTGTTTCTATACCTTGTAGTGTTTTGGCCATTGACTGTCCTTATTTTGATCACCAGGCACTGGTTTGCATTTATGATTTTGCTACATGCCTACGGAAGAAATGAAGGAACCTTGCATTATTGGTACCTTTGATTTAACTGAGTTTTTTTGGATATGGAAATTATAAAAGCTCACTGCTGAAAATGTGGAAAACACATAAAAGTATGAGGCAGTAGGAAAAAAACATGCTTAATTTCATCAACTATTAATATGACCTTGTTTCAGAATATGCATGATGTCAGGCACATAACAGATACTCAAAATATATTTGTTGGTTGAATGACTGAGTCTTGCATATTTTCAGCATCTGAGTTGTGCAAAGATCTTAGCTTTCTTTTCATGAAAAGAACACTAACAGTTTTACTAGGACTAGGTGTTTTCTTGCCAGAAGAAATGCTTTTAGGCATATGGGAATTATAATAAGTATCCCAATATGAAATTTCCTTCTTCAGATAAAAAATGAAAATGTCAAGATGGTTCCATTTCTTTTCAATCTTGCCCTTCTCCTTTCTCAAAGAAAGCCTTGCTGTTTCTGAACAGTCATTCATACATACATCTATATAAAAGGGAAATGGTTTTACAGCGGATCATGGTTGGAGGGAAAACACCGCTATAACATAATATGGGAAAAGAGCCTCTTGGTCCCAGTTTCTTCTGTGGCACTCACTTCCAAAGTGATGTTGTGGTTTATTTCACAAGATGAGATTTCTTGTAACAGTCTAGTACTCTAGTGATCGAGTGAGATAGTAGAACTTTATCGTCAATCATCAAATCCCACAGTTTTATGTTGACCAAAATCAGTACTACATGATTGAAGAAGTTGGATGCATTATATACTGAAAATGTAAAACACAAAATTCCCCTGATTTTTTTCACACCCTGGATTGCAAATTTTTATTTCCCTGTAGGAGAATTCAGTCAAACCTTGTAAACTGTAACAACTCTCAGGAGCATTGGTAAGAAACAATATCATCTAACTTCAGGCATTATTTCCTGGTAAATTAACTACATGCTCTTTGAAATCAGCCCTTTACTAAATCTAAAACTGCAGTTTTACTCAGATATTCTTATGTGAGTGAAATCAAATGCATGTATGTGCATACATATGTAATATAAATAAATATAAGTTTTCTTTAGGAGTTTTCCCAATTCTTCTGAGATGATTTTTCTATCCAAATACCTTTGTTTCTATGTCTTAAGGAGTTATAGCTTTCGGTTGCATCTTAGTCCATTGGCAAGACTTGTATTTCTGTAATTTCTGTAAAGGTAAGGTATCTACTTGGGCCACAGATCAGGTATCTGTCTGCCTTTGTGGATGTTTGGCATAAAGCCCCTTTATTCCACCTAAATTCTCGATATTTGGGGTATGATTTTATTTCTGTAAAAAAGGATTTAGGCAGGGAGGTGTCATCTGGATTTTATCTGCCCTTAAGAGTAAGTGTTCTTTCTCCTCTCCCTATCTAAAATTTCCATGTGATTCCCTCACACTGGCACTAAAGTGTGTCATCTGGTTAGAGCTCACATCAGTGCCCTGCTGCTGGTGGAGGTTGCGGGAGGTGAGCTTTAGAAAAGGGCCTGCAGCTCAACATACATGTCATGGACACAATCGTATTGTCCCCAACTCATGAAAATTCCTGAGAACAGAGCAAATCAAAAATAATATGTTAAAACAAGAAAGTTTAGTGAAACAAACTCTCGGTATTGTTAGAGGCTTTATTCTAATCCCTACAACACAGCACATGTATTCTCAACATCTAACATATTTAATTTGCATTTGGATTCCTTTAGCATATTGTCCTATTATATAAAGTTTAATGAACAATAAACACAGCTATAACCAAATTTCACAGCTATTTCTCAGTGTGGGGTAAGATTTTGCATTTAGTTATATTTGGTTTCCTAGGTAATATTTGATTGTGGCTCTATTTCCTGAAGCTGCATCTCTTGTCACATGGAATCTTTTGGTGGCGGATTCTGCCGACCGAGGGGAAGCCAGGAAGGAGTAAGTTGCTTTGAAACCACTGAAGCCATGATAGTGAAGAAGACTTCACAGTCCTTGACAGTCTTTGAGCTCTCCATTGTTGTTCTCCAGGCTTGTATTTCTGAAATCTACTGTATGTACTAGTTCCAGATCAGTCTTGCCCAAATACCATTTTTATCCTGTCATTCCTCTGCTCGTGAACCTTCAATGACCTCTTCTCAATGTAGTCCAAACCCTACACTTGGCTTTCAAGGTCTTCCAGAATCTGTTTTTCAAAAGCTGTCCCTCGAACCACATTTTCTTGAATATTCATGGCTTTCTATATTCTAATAAGGTCAGGTTTCTCGCTGTCACTAGCACATTCTGTCGTCATTATGCTCCATGCCCTTGCAGCTGTACTTCTTTCTCCCTGGAAGGCGCTCTTCTCTGGATCTATACCCCTTTGGGGTTCAGCCCAAGTCTCACCTATTTTCCCGAGTCTTCTTTGGTCAGTTAAATCCATACTCATGCCTTATCCCAAATCCCACTGCATTTATATTCAGTGCTGAGAGACACTCTGGCTTGGCATCTAAAGGGAATTAGCGTGGACCTGAGAGTAAAAGGTCAGTTCAAGTTCTGGCTTCTTTTCTTTCTAATTTTTGTGGCATTTGTCAATTAATAGAAGGTGATCTTACTATGGAAGTCTCACAACAGTCTCAGCTTTGTTAACAAAGATTATAAATAATGGGGGCAAAGCAGAGTATTGGGCCTGGGAAAGAGTTTTTGTAAAGCTTCAGGTAGAACCTTATGTTAGAAATGTAAAACCTCCTCTAAAGAAAAATGTTACCAATAAATAAAGCAAGTAGGATTTTGAGTAGATTATCATTTTTGTTGTGTATTCACCCTGTTTCCTAGAGAATCAACTTTCCTACTTTGTGCTTACTATAGTTTCCTCTAGAGTAGGGGCTAACTGTGTAGAAGAGGTTGTGTGTGGGTCGTAGGGTTACTGGGATTAGACTATTCAAATAGCACAAATATTCTGTGTATTCTGATTTCAAATGTAAACATATTCCTGATTGGAAATGTGTATATGTATTTTTTATTTTTAGTTCTGGGGTACATGTGCAGGATGTACAGGTTTGTTACATAGGTAAACATATACTACGGTGGTTTGCTGCACTATCAGCCTATCACCTAGGTATTAAGCCCAGCATCCATTAGGTATTTTTCCTAATGCTCTCCCTCCTCTGATCCTATCCCCTGACAGGCCCCAGTGTGTGTTGTTCCTCTCCCTGTGTCCACGTGTTCTCTTTGTTCAGCTCCCACTTATGAGTGAGAATATGCAGTGTTTGGTTTACTGTTCCTGGGTTAGTTTGCTGAGAATAATGGCTTCCAGCTTCATCTACGTCCCTGCAAAGGACATGATCTCATTCCTTTTTATGGCTGCATAGTATTCCGTGGTGTATATGTATCACATTTTCTTTATCCAGTCTCTCGTTGATGGGCATGTGGGTTGATTCCCTGTATTTGCTAATGTGAATAGTGCTGCAATGAACATACGCATGCATGTATCTTTGTAATAGAATGACTTATAGTCCTTTGGGTATATACCCAGTAGTGGGATTGCTGGGTCAAACGGTATTTCTGGTTCTAGATCTTTGAGGAATTGCCACACCGTCTTCCACAATGGTTACACAATTTACATTCCCACCAACAGTGTAAACGTGTTCCTGTTTCTCCACAACCTTGCCAGCATCTGTTGTGTTTTGATAAGTCCGTATAATTTAATTAGAAACCTAAGTAGGTTTTGGAGGACCTACTACCTTTACTTAAACATCCTGAATTTTATTTATTTGTTTATTTTAGAATTGGGGTCTTGCTCTGTCACCAAGACTGGAGTGCAGTGGCTATTCACAGCTGTAATCATAGTGTATTACAGCCTCAAGCTTCTGGGCTCAAGCGATCCTTCTGCCTCAGCCTCCCAAGTAGCTTGAACTACAGGAACCCATCACAGTACCCAGTATATCCTGAATTTTTAAGGCAGCCTCTCCAAGAACATTCTGAGGTGTTCTGGTGTCTTTAGTAATCTTATCTCCTAATTTTGGTTCTTGCCTGGAATGAAGAAAATTACTGGTCTGTGAATCTTTGGCTCTTGTCATTGTAAGACTTAGGGAACAATGCTGCAATTTTTGCAGCCTCTGTAATGACCAGAACTTTCAATACACAATCTTAACTTTGTAGATATTAACTTATTTTTAAATCTGCTCATTTAAAGCCATAAAATGTAATCTAATTTAGTCTTTACAATGAAATATTTACAGTAGATAATTTCACAGTCACTGCTCCCTAATTCAAAACGCTTTGAGCCTGAAGCTCTAAGGCCAGGCCAGCTTGAGTCTGATACTGATGTGCTTTAACATGAAACGTGAGACCAGGAAGTGGAAGACCCGTAGCCAAACTCTCATCCTTATTCACAGTAAATTTCTTGACAGAAGAAACCAGGGAACTATGGGGTTTCTGGTTTATTATCTGAGTGGTCTAATGCAGGAATTATTGCCTGCCATGGGGAGATGATTGCAGATCACTCTCCGGTGGAGTTTGACTGAACAAGAAGCCACATCCCAGGTCTCAGGAATAATGTTATTCCACACCCTCCCTGTTACTCAGGGGTGCTCTATGATGGGCTCAGCTGCCGAACATTAGGGGATTCGACCAAAACCTTAATCATGGCGATTTTGATAATCAGTTCCAATGAGCAGAATCCTGTGGGCTCTGTGAAACCCGTGAAGCTGATAGTATTGAAGGAAATGAAATGTGATAAGTGTGATTGCTTGACATGCCAGAAGGGGGTTGGTGGAGAAAGAATTCAAAAAAGAAAATTTAGCTATCTTAAAAACTGGCACTTCTGAGAATAATTATGTAGGGAATTTGCACTTTCATACTCTAGGTGTTTCTGAGAACAAACACATCTTAAGAATTTAGTTAGAATATGTAGATAATAAAGATTTAAACTGATTGCCAAGGGTCCTCACACAGGAATGATTTTTCTTTTATAGTTAATTTATTAATTTGAGTAAAATGTGATTCATTTACTTCTGAGCCTTTGCATGGTGTTCATATAAATAGTGTTGATAATTTCTTTCTTTCTTTTTTTTTAGACTGTATCTCACTTTATCATGCAGTGGCTTGATCTCGGCTCACTGCAAACTCCACCTCCTGGGCTCAAGTGATCCTCTCACCTCAGCCTCCCGAGTAGCTGGGACTACAGGCACATGCCACCATGTCCAGCTACTTTGGCATTTTTGGTAGAGATGAGTTTCACCATATTGCCCAGGCAGGTCTCAAACTCTTGGATGCAAGTGATGTGCCTGCCTTGGCCTCCCAAAGTGCTGGGATTACAGGTGTGAGCTACTCCACCCAGCCAATAGTGTTTGTAATTTCTGATGACAAATATTTCATGCTAAATAAGTAGCCGACCAGGAATGAACAAGTAATTACCAACAGTGGGGCACACTGTTGTTTGATGGTATATGTTTTCCTAACATGAACAAACTCCCTTACAACTTCAACATCTGTGCCTTAACTAAAATCTGGACATGCTGCATTGAGAGAGCATCTCTTGGAAGTCTCCTTTAGTGAAGGATGCTTTTTTCCTAATGTTTTAAATTCCTGGAGTCAGACCTTGATTCTACAATCATTCTTCAGTGATGTTTCTTCTTTTAAGGTCACGTATTTTTTATATGCTGTCGCCCCGTCCTCATCATTAGCATTTATTGACCTTCAGGATGTAAAAAATACTCTGAGTTCTTCCCTTGTAGCCTTCTTCTCACTCCATCCTTTGCATTGTCCTTGGTGACTTAAGTTTTCATGTTGTATTTTTTCCTAATAACCTGATTTCCTCAAATACCTGGCCACGTAGCAAAGGGAGTTTCTATTGCTGGTACTGCTTCCTAAGTTTTCAGTTCTCCCATACCTTAAACCTCCTGACACTACTTTCTGTGTCAATAATCTCAAATGTTTCACTAGCCTCCATGTGGCAGTTGGAGTTTCTAGTCTAGAATACAAATGGTATTCCCACTAATACGCAGGAGCTCTTGCCTCATGACTTGATACACTATCCAAATTCCAAAGACATTCCCTTGCTCGGTTTCTTGGCCCCTGCCTTACAGCTAGAAAAAGTCATGTACTTGGCAATTACTTCCTGTAAATCCATATCCTCTTACCTTAGCAATGCCCTCAGTATGTTCTTTTTTGTGGCCATCTAAGCTTTGTCCCTAAATTGTGACCATTTTCTTTTCTACTCAATAATATCTCATTTTCTACGTTGGTAGTTAGTACTTACTCAGTAGAAGTTATCTGATGAGAGTCTTTCTTCATATTTCTTTGTGTCAAAATGCATTTTTATGTTTAAACATCTCAAACCTCCCTGGCAATTAAGACATTTTGGGACTTTTCTCCAAACATAACATTCCATTTAAGTCTGGGACTCACTTTCATAAACCCATGCACCTGTGGGAAAACTCTCTTCCCCA